>NC_000001.11:203942162-204093677 GCF_000001405.40 Homo sapiens | reverse complement strand
TATTTGAGAAGAGGCTACTTTCCACAGACACTCCAAATCCCAATTAACCCTCTCCGCCTGCTGGGCTGGGTGCCAAGGGGACAGCCAGTGACAAGGCTTCTCTGGGCCTGGATGCCACCCGCCACCATGGTCAGAGGGAGGGGTGGCCCCCCACACCCATGCCACCGCCTTCACTTCCTGTCAGGCCCCACAGGCATCATCCTGAGCACCCAGGGTCCAAAGGTCAGGTACAGGCTGTTTATTATTATAAATTGCAATTCACCCGCAGCTGGGTTTTGTGAATACGGTGGCTTCATGCCTCAAAGCAGCCCCTCAAAACTATATGTAAATTCCATAGATTTCACAGAAATCAATCCTGTGTAGTGTAGAACTGTCCCCTTAGTAACCAGTTAAGGTGGGAAGAAAAGGCAGTGTGCTCTGAGCCAGACTGTCATTTCAGTCACACCTGGGAACGCCCTACCTACAGCTAGCATTCGAGAAACAGTTTCTTTCCTTCTCTAGGCTGCTCCCTGGGGCCAGCATAGCGAGGTCCATGCCCCAGTCCACCTCCCCCACGTCCCCACGTCCCTATGCTGATACACTTGGGACAGCAGCTCTCACCCTTGCTTCTTTGACTGAATGGGGGTCACTCCAAAAACAGAATAATCACAGCAACAAATAGCCAACACCTGGATAAGATTCCCACGCACTATTCTAGACTCTTCTCATGTGACCCTTCTAATGTTCTCTCTTCTCAAGTGAGAGCATTGTGATTAATGGCATTTCAGTTAGGAAGCGGAAACACAGAGAGGCTAAGTAACTTGACCCGTGCTGCACAGCAAATCTGCACGTAGCAACCAAAGGAGGTGTTATAGGAGACAGTGCCTGTCCCCACCACACACCGGGAAGCTGATTCCCCTCCTTTCCCATACCCCATAAAGGCCATGCCCATGACCCTAGGAGGAGCAGCCCCCTAAATCCAAGTAGGCCCAGGAATGCTGGACTGTCCCCACCCCAGGACAGACTTCAACAACCACCTCCACAGCAGCCATCACACTAATATCAGCTCCCACTTACCAAAGCCTTCTATACTCCAGGTCCTATACTAAGGGCCATAATATATACATCACTTCATTAAATCCTTTTAATCTCTCAAAGTAGGTGTTATTCTTTTCCCACTTTGTAGGTGAGAAAACTAGGGTTTAAGAAAGTTCTGAGGCCACAAGTGGTGGCTCACACTTGTAATCCAAGCACTTTGGGAGGCCAAGTCAGGAGGACTGCTTGAGCCTAGGAGGTCAAGGCTGCAGTGGGCCATGATCATGCCACTGCACTCCAGCCTGAGTGACAGAGCAAAACCTTGTCTCAAAAAAAAAGAAAAAAAAGTTCTGGGCCAGGTGTGGTGGGCCTACACCTATAATCCAGCGTGCTTCAGGAGACCAAGGCAGACTTTGAAGACCAGCCTGGGCAACATAGCAAGACCTTGTTTCTACAAAAAAACTTAAAAATTAGCCATGTGTAGTAGCACATGCCTAAGTCACAGCTAGAATCACTTGAGCCCAGGAGCTCAAGGCTGCAGTGAGCTAGGGTCGTGCCACTGCACTCCAGCCTGGGCAACAGAGCAAGACCCTACATCAAAGAAACAAAGAAAGAAGAGAGAAAAAAAGTGAAAGAGACAGAAGAAGGAAAGCGAAGGAAAGAAAAAAGAAGACAGAAAGGACAGAAAGGCAGACAGAGAACGAAAGAAAGAATGAACAAAAGAACAAACAAATGAAAGAAAGCAAAGAAACAAAGAAAGAAAGAGCCAAAGCTAAGAAAGAGGTGGGGCACAGTGGCTCACGCCTATGATCCCAGCACTTTGGGAGCTCAGGTGGGAGGGCTGCTTGAGCTCAGGAGTTCAAGACCAGCCTGTGCAATATAGTGAGACCCCCATCTAAAACACAAACACACACACACACACACACACACGCACACGCACACAAAGAAAACGAAAAAAGTTCTGTTATTTGCCAGAAATCACAGGGCTCAGAAGCAGAGCCAGGACTCAAACCCCAGTCTGATTTCACCTTGCCCCCAGCCTTCCAACCCAAGGCTACAGAGATGGGAAAGAGGCTTTGTTCCCACAATGAACTGTTTCACCTCCCCAGAGAGATTAGAGCATCCCTGAGGGTGGGGTCTGATCCCCTCACCCCTAGCCTTGCCCAGTGCCTTTCACATAATGAGGGCTTGGTAAAGCTTATCCATTGGATGAGTATCTCATTCATTCACAAATATACCAAACCATTGGTTTTAAAAAGACATCTAGAGATCAATATTCCTCGATCCTGAACAATATAAGCATGCTCATGCTGGAAACTGCACATGCTGGATATCCCAGGAAAGCTGGCCACACTGATTCGTTTGGGTCCCAGTGGGACCAAAGCCGTGAGCAGCATGGGTCAGGGCAGACGAGGAAACGCGACTTGTCTTTTTCCCAGGGTGGCAGCCCTGGGAACCCACTAGCCCTGGCAGGGAAGGGAAAGTTGTCTCAGTTACCAGGCAGTTCAATACGGAAGGCAGCAAAAATGTCTTTGAATGGAAAGGAAAAGAACAGTGTTCTGTTGGAATTTTTTGCAGGACAATGAGAGAGCAGCTTCAGCCTGAATGAATGAGCCACCCATTCTGAAAGTTCTCTGACAGATCCTCTGGTTCCCCATTGTCAACAAAGTCCTAGCTCCTCGGCCCGTGTCCAAGGTTCCTTCTAACCTGGATGGTCTCCGCCTAACTGCAATCTAAACTAACACCATCCCTTCCCACCCCACAGGGCCTCCTCAGCCTCTGTAAGTCACCGGTGTTCCTTACAGCACCTGGTGCAAAGGTGCCCTACAGATGCTCATCTTAGCAGAACACTGGGCCCAGAATCCATGCTCAATACACACTTACCAAATTCACCCGTGCTGAATCGAATTTGAGTTCATCCTTTCCTGAGCCTTTGGCAAGAGTCTTGAGCTTGGCCGGGCATGGTGGCTCACACCTGTAATCCCAGCACTTTGGGAGGCCCAGGCGGGTGGATCACTTGAGGCCAGGAGTTCAAGACCAGCCTGGCCAACATAGTGAAACCCTGTCCCTACTGAAAATACAAAAAAGTTAGCCGAGTGTGGTGGCGCACACCTGTAATCCCAGCTACTCGGGAGGCCAAGGCAGGAGAATCGCTTGAACCCTGGAGGCGGAGGTTGCAGTGAGCCAAGATCATGCCACTATACTCCAGCCTGGGTGACAGAGTGAGACTACATCTCAAAAAAAAAAAAAAAAAAGAAGAAGAAGAAGTCTTGAGCTAGTCAGGGAGGAGGCAGTCAACCCAGAGAACAGAGAACAAGTAACCAGCCTCAGGGTTAAGTGGCCATCAGCTCAGTGTGGAGGATAATAATAGTTCAAACCTCACAGCTGGAAACCAGGCCCATGCTCTCCCTGCCTAACACCCTCTCTCCCCGACTGCCCAACACACACATTCTCTGTGCTGGCTCTACCCAGAGTCCCACCAGAGCTTCTTATCCTTCCAGTGAATCTGCCCTTCAACAACCATCCAATGGCACCCAGCTTGAAGATGTGGCTGGGATGCAAAAAACCACTACCGAAGGGTTCACTCTCCCCTAAGCAGCCTGGGCTCCCACCAGAGGCCCAGCCATAAGGCAGAGGCCCCGGGGGCTTCAGCCACCACCATCCTGGTCGGAGAGAGTTCCTCCTACCAGAGTTCCCTGCCCTCTGGCACCATGGCCCTCTACGCAATGCTGGCCCCTTGAAGACTAGATGATGTAGCTACTTCTAGTCAAAGCCACAGTTGGGAAGAGAATGAGGGAAAATGGGAAGAATGAGACCAACTTACGTGACAGGTGGATAGAGATAAGGGACGCACCTCCAGGAATGGGGACCAGTGATGAGCCCTGGGCAATGTGGAGGCCAGCTCAGGGGAGAGGGTGCCACAGGTGCTGCCCCTGCCCTCTCTTCCGGGACCCCCTGCACCCACACAGCCCTGGTGCCCGCAGGGCTCTATCTACTGCCCTGATCTCACAGCCGCCAAGTGAAATTCCACCAGCTCAGCACTTTTGCAGAGAGGGGGTTGTTTTGCTTGTGCACCATTCTTTCCACAGGGTGGCCGCCTTGCCTGCTACCCCTCTTCCGGGGTCCCCTCACACAGCTGCTCCCCTGTTCCTCGGAGGGATCTCCCCAGGCCCCGCTGCCTCAAGAAACTATGATTTTGTTCCAGGCATCACTGTCCTGACCTCATTTCACAGAGAGAAATCTGGACCCTGAGGCCGGCGGGCATGAGAGTGGGAGGGAAGCCCATTCATCCTGCTCCCCAGGGCTGTCTGGGCTCGCATGGGAATGCCATGCTGTCCAGAGGAGTGCCTCCCCACACGGGGCTGGGCTCAAAATGCCCTGTGCTAAAACCGTCCTCTAGCGCACGCCAAGACACCACACACTCAGTCATAAAATTGTTGATCTGCTCCTCTTTCCTGTCCAGCCTCTTCCCCACCCCCCCATGCATCTTCCCCCAACACTGGAGAACAGAATGTGCTTGGCTGGAGACCCGGATGTAATAAATTGCTAGTAACAGAGACTCAATCTGAAAAACAAATTAATACAAGGCCTAGCTCTTCCTTTCTGCTCCTCTCATTCTCAACACTGTTTCCTGCAAGGCCAAGCAGAGAAAGAAATGCCTCCCTGGTCACAATCGCTGAGAGGGAAATTGATTCCTCCCACCCTCTGGACCACTGGAGGCTCCCCTCAACCCACCAGCATCTCCCTTCATGAGCTCAAAAGCCAGGTCCCGAGGAGCCTGCACAGTATGTATTTGTCCGAACTCTAATTGAGCTTTCACTTCACATTTAATGGGTACCTGCTGAGTGCCAGGCATGGTGTCCTGATCCCTGACGAGGCGAGGTGGTGGCCGCTGGGGTGGGATGCAGAGGGGAGGCTGGGCCTGTGCATCCAGCCGTCTGTGCTAAGCCCAGAGAGGTCAGGTCTGATCTCATCTTATCAGATCAGTTCAACAGCAGGAATGACCCCTACCCCACACTGACTCTGTTCCCAGTCACCTACCCCCAGTCTGGGAGTGGGGGTAACGGGACAGGAGTGAGAAGGCACAGACAGGTGCAAAAAGGCAGAACCAGCCATCTCTGGAAAGAACAAGAGTAAAAGGCAAATCTGAATGTGCCTGGGGATAGATTATAAAATTATGTTTAGTGTACTGGTTATATGCAAATGCCATGTAAATATGGACAAAGCCCCTGGAAAAATCCGAGTGTCCCTGCTGCTCTTTCTGCCTCGCTCTCTTTCTTATTTGGGCAGTTTCCAAGGCTACGTAGGGAGTCATCTGACCACCTGGCTAGGAGAACCCAGAGTAGTGTCCCCAGCCGAATCGACCAGCATCCCCTTTGCACCAATGCCTCTCCTTGGTCTCAGCCCACTTTGTGGCTATCTGAGAAACATGACCACAGGGGAAGAGAAAACAGGGCTACGTCCACAGCCAAGGTGGGAAGTGAGGGAGGAGAAGGTAAATGAGGGCCCTACAAGCACACATCCTTCCAGATCCAGTCTCAGGATGGTTCCCTGTGACTGTCTGGAGACCCAATGGGCCCTTCCCATCACCATTTCCCCAAAACCAATGGCAAGATGCCAGGGCAGGAGGCCAAGGGACTCTAAAGCAAGATCCCAGTGTGGGCTGTCACTTGTTCTGAACAGAGTCAGACATACCGCATAGACCAGCCTCATCCCTGCAGATCCACAGCCAGGTGGGACTCTGGAAGCCCCACTACCTAGACAATTTCCAATATCCTCATCTGCCAAATCTGAGGAGTAGATGCTCCCTGCCCTTCCAAACTAGAAGGTTTTATGAGGTACCCGAGACAAGCCTCACAGAAGCATCCTGTGCGGGGCTGTGGCAAAGTGTCTGACTCCACATCCGGGCTTTGAAACTGCAGCAAAAACTGCCAGTGTGGTTGTCATCATCCTCATCTAACTCTATTTCCAGCAAACCAGAATTCTTACTTTATAGCAAGAGAACTCAAAATGCTCCTTCCCAAGTTGCAGATGGAGGAAGTAAGGCTCCAAGTGGCTAAGTGACAGCCCTGAGGGCATACAAGCCATTAGCAGTAGAAGCTAGACCAGGGCCTTAGCACTGGTGGTCCCAGCACCTCCCGGAAACACCAGCACAGACAGAAAGGGGAGATGTCAGGGTGCTCCCATAAGAAAAGGTGGGACAGGGGGGCCTACTGCCTCATGCACAGGGAGCAGGCCCTGGGAAGCTACAGGAAGGTCCTGGAACAGATAGCTGCAGCCACCATGGAGTCAGCAGGGTCCAGCTGGTGCCCCTGGGAAGGCAGGCACCTGACCCCTCTGTATAAGGCGAGCAGTCCTAGGCCTCCCAGCCTGACTTATCTACCCAGGTGATGGGCAGCCTGGCCCTTTTGCCTCTGCAGAAGTCATGGAAGGAAGGAGAAAAGCTGGGCGCGGTGGCTCACGCCTGTAATCCCAGCATTTTGGGAGGCCGAGGCGGGCAGATCACAAGGTCAGGAAATCGAGACCATCCTGGCTAACACGGTGAAACCCCGTCTCTACTAAAAATACAAAAATTAGCCGGGCCTGGTGGTGGGTGCCTGTAGTCCCAGCTTACTCGGGAGGCTGAGGTAGGAGAATGGCGTGAACCCGGGAGGCAGAACTTGCAGTGCGCCAAGATCGCGCCACTGCACTCCAGCCTGGGTGACAGAGTGAGACTCCGTCTCAAAAAAAAAAAAAGGAAGGAGAAAGACCATTGTCTCCTTGTTACAGATCTAGAGACCAAGGCCCAGACAGGCTTCGGACATGAGCCAGATCACAGAGGGACCCTAATAGCTACCATTTACTGTGAGCCCAGCACACACACATCTTTCTCTAATCCGTACCATCACCCTGCCACAAGGGAGAACCATTACGCCATTTTATGGATAAAGAAAATATGGCTCAAAGAAATTAGGTAAATGGCTCCATATTTAGAGTCAAAACCCAGAAACTTCCAAACTTTCTGACTCTAACACCCCATGATGTTGTCACTAAACTATCCTGCCTTTCTAGAAGTTGAAGGCAGGCCAGGTGCAGTGGCTCATGCCTGTCATCCCAGCACTTTGGAAGGCCGAGGCGGGCAGATCACGAAGTCAAGAGATAGAGACCATCCTGGCCAACATGATAAACTCCTTCTCTATGAAAAATAGAAAAATTAGCTGGGTGTGGCAGCACATGTGTGTAGTCCCAGCTACTCGGGAGGCTGAGGCAGGAGAATCTCTTGAACCTGGGAGGCGGAGGTTGCAGTGAGCCGAGATCGCGCCACTGCATTCCAGCCTGGGCGACACAGCGAGACTCCATTTCAAAAACAAAAAAAATTTTTTAAAAAGTTGAAGGCTACTCCAGAGTGTGCAAAGCTGAGTTATTCATAATGCAGTGAACTGAGGAGGGGGAGGGAAGATAGACACAGTGATGGCCAAAGCTGGCACCCGACCCTGGAGGAACCGGCAAGGAGCTTGGGATGAGCCCCAACTCCTTTCCAGGCTGCACAGGCCCTCCACACCTGGCCCAGGCCACTCCTCCAGCTGTGCTCACAAACATGTACTTAGGACACATACTCATACTTTCACACCTCCGGGGTCTGGCTCACATGGTGTCTCTGCCTAGAAGGCTAGAAGGCACTTCCTACATTCTTTCTTTTCTTTTTTTTTTTTTTTGAGACGGAGTCTTGCTTTGTTGCCCAGGCTGAAGTGCAGTGGCACGATCACTGCTCCGCCTCCCGGGTTCACACCATTCACCTGCCTCAGCCTCCCGAGTAGCTGGGACTACAGGCCCCCGGCACCACGCCCAGCTAATTTTTTTGTATTTTTTTTTTAGTACAGACGGGGTTTCACCGTGTTAGCCAGGATGGTCTTGATCTCCTGACCTCGTGACCCACCTGCCTCGGCCTCCCAAAGTGCTGGGATTACAGGGGTGAGCCACCAGGCCTGGATCTTTTTTTTTTTTTTAAATATGCACTTTCTGCTTTTGTAATTCCTACATTCTTGACCAGCGAACTCCCATACCTCACTCAAAACCCAGCCTAGATGTCCTTTATAAATCCCTTCCAAACAATCTTAGAAGAGTTCATTATTTCTCCAGGGCATCCTAGAGACCTTGGACATCACTGGTGTCCAGTACTTAACCAACCTGCCATTATTTGTTTACCTCTGTACCCGCCAGACTCTGGCTAGATTTGAGCCCTTAATATGCTCTCAAGAAGAGGGACAATAACAGGCATCTTTTAAATGGCCCTTACTATATGTCGGGCAGTTTTACATCCTTTCTCTATACTTTACATCTTTACATTTCACCATCACAATAGCCCCATGAGCCTGTGGCAGGTACAATTGTTATCATCTCTATGGTTAGGCTAGATTACTTACCCAAGATCACACAGACAGTCTGGCTCCAGAAGCTGCCTGTCTGTCTGTGCTGGTACTATATTATTCTCCATGTCCTCCCCAGTCCCTAGTGCAGTGGCTGGCACACAGTAGGTGCTCTGTAAAGGTCTGCTTTAGAAATAGGTAAGGAGGAAGGAGGGTTGCCACACCCTGGCCACCTCCTGCCCTAAATCCCACCTGGAATCCCTTAAGTCTCATCTTAGCTTCCATCACTCCTGACATTCACCACGTCTTTCTTCCCCAAATCTCCAGATGCTTTTCCCATCTCCCATCCATTTCATGTTTGGGTGTCCCAGTGGGAGAGATCTTGCTGTCTTTCCAGCAGGGAAACTGAAACACACAGAGACCTCAGGGCTGGTGGATTCGCTCAGAGGCAGATTTCCTACCTCTCAGGCTAATGCACCTCACCCCCACATGGTCTAGTCTCACCTCTGTCTCAAGCAACAACAAACCCTGAGAGGCAAGGGGGTGAATCTGGAAGACAGCATCCCCTGGCTGACCTGGTCACTGATCTCTGGGCGGGGCCTGAGAGGAGGGAGGAAGGGGCTGGCTCCCTGAGGCCAGGGAGGAGGAGACAAGAGGCCCTTTGTGTCTACAGAGCTCCTGAGACACCTGTTCTCGCCTCCTGCCTGCCTGTGGCCTCCCTCCCGGCTGAGCCTGTGTGCGGCCTTGTTTATCCTGCAGCCCTGGCAGCTAGGCCCAGCCTGCTCCCAGCATGGGGCTCCAGCAGCCCCTGCCAGCACCTGCCTGGTCCTGGCAGCCCTGGAGGCTGCTGGCCAAGCACAATCACCCTGCTGTTGACACAGTTGTTGATTTTCAGGAGGGTAGGGAGGGACAGGAGGAGAGAGGCAGCAAAGGCATTTAATGCCAGCCTGGCTAATTTGCAGTTGGCCCTAGCAATCCTGCACCCCCCACAGCTGCCTGGGAGAGGCTTGGGGTTTCAATCCCCTGGCAGCTTGGGCCACACACCACAGAGTGCCCAAGTCCTGCTTGAACCCACAGCACCACACCACAGGCAGGGCCCCCACGTATGGTAGTGCACACCAAAACCCATGCTGCCCCGTGCTTGCACACACGACTTGTAGCTGAATAAGGCCCCTGAGCTCTGGGAGCCCCTGGCCACCTTGTCTTCAAATGCCCAGCACTCACTCTTCCCGCAAAGTCATAGTGTGCCTGGGTCCTTAGTGAGGAATAGGACCATCTGACATGCCCTTAGAGGCCCAGGTGGGGCCCCTGGGAGATGTGGAGGGGACCTACCCTTATGACCTCCTCTTCCCTCTGACCTGTTCTCCTCCCCACCCTCCAGATCTTTATGTTATGTCTTTCAGGGAACTTTTCGTGGGTGCTCCCGAAACATCCTGCCCTGTCCCTCCCTCCCCTCAGTTTGTCAGTACTGGTATCAGTTACTTACTTCACTTTCTCCAAGTTGTGTCAGGGCTATGCTGGCTTCATGGTCTTTCAGCCCCAGCCCAGGGTGGCCCGGCATAGCCACAAGGCAGGTGCTCCCTACATACCTGCCTCAGGGACGGAGGACCAGAGAAGGCCCCCGCAGTCCCCAACATCCACTCCATCTCCACCTCAAGTTCTTGCTTTTCAATCACCTCTTGGATTAGTAAGGCCCCGCGGCTGCTTAAAAGGCCAATGTGCTTCTGGAGTTACCTGTTAATCTGTCCACACACCTAGATTGGTAAAGCTGACTATCCAAGCTATCTCCTTAGAGATCAAGGAGCACGGATCCCGAAGGGCAAGGAATGGATGAGTTTAGATGATGGGAGATAGAGAGAGGAAGGCAGGGATATAAAGAAGACCCTGTGGGTTGAGGAAAAGCAGAAGGGCCTGGGGCAGGGGTTGCTGTCAGGTGAGGCAGAAACTTCCTCTCTTCCCCACGTGCCTCCTTTCAGTCTTACCTGCCCCATCTGAGAGCTCCTAAACCCCATCAGTCCTGACTCAGGAATCAGGAGGCTCCTTACACCTGTGGCCAATTGGCCCAAGAGGACTCAGGCTCAATAAAGGGTGTCAACAGTCCAACAGACCCTCTCTAAACTGCCAAACACACCAACACTCACACACAACCCCCTTCCCCACTACACACACAATTCTGGTTCTCCAAACTTCAAGTTAATCAGTGCCCAGAAAAGGGTAACACAGATAGCCAAAATGAGCCCCAAATGGAGGGTGCCACCATGGTGAGAAGTACGGATCTAAGGTCAGGTGAACCCAGTAGAAGAGAAGGGGAATTTACATTATGAAAACCAAAGGTCCCTGATGCTTTCAGCCAGTTCCAACAGGCTATCGTGTACAGTTGTACAGACTGTGCACTGCACAACTCTAAGAAAGGCCCATTCACCTAGACTTGTACACCCATTTCAAGGATTCTCTGGCCGAGAGCAGTCAAGTCCATCCCTTGTCTACTCAGATATCAAACAGAAAGCCCTCTTGCTACCCACCTCTACCCAAGTCAAGATTTGACACAGGTCCCCTTTCTCTATTCTCTGACCCTGTTTCCTGTTCTGGTCCCTAGGAGTTTACTGGATAGGGAGGAGAGGCCTCCTCTCCCTGCCCCACAAGCCCCAGTTAGGGAGCCCACCATTGGGTCTTTCTCTACCTCTCCTTTCTCTTCCTCAGCCCCTTGCCCTGGCCAGACACTCCCATATTAAGTGCTCCCGGGCGAGGGGGATGGCTGGGGTTCCATGACTGCCCCGGAAACAAAGTTGACAGCAAAAGGAGGGAAGGGGGTGATAGCCCACTACTGCTCCTCCCCAGGTATACTGGGATTGAAACCCCAACGTGCTTGGGGCACCAGAAGCTGGCTGTTCTGACTCTTCCTTTTTCTTCCATTCTACTCTCCCTTCCTTCTTGACATCCGTCTAATGTCCTCACTGTCTCCCTGGAGTTCTCGGAGGCCCTGCCTGGTTCCCATGGGTTGGAGGAGCCTGGCCAGGGTCTCCAGAGCACAGGCCCCTGCCTGCCTGCACACATATGTGCACACACACACACACACCACACCTGGCCCTCCACACACACACATCACACTCATAGATACACACATCACGCTCAGCCCTTCACAAACACACACACACCTGGCCCCCCACACATACACCCACACACACATCACACTCACATTACACTCACACACACATCACACTCAGCTTCCCTCCCCCCCACACACACCCCACCACCAGCCAAGAAAAGAGGAGCCGGGCAAGCCTGAGAAACAGCAGGGGCTGAAGGGGCCACTCCCTCTGCTTTCGACAGCGCCCTATTCAAGCCCCACTGCCCTCACCCCACCTGCCTCTGAGCCACGGCTGTACCTGCACACAGGCTTCCTTCCACCCCTCCCCACTACATTTTATTCCCCCTTCTTTCCCCACCCTACCCCACCCTCATGGAACAGGCCAGAACCAAAACCTCACAAGGATGGTTGAGTGACTTCAGACTCCTTCAGTAGGGCTGGAGGGTGGGGAGAGGTTGTTCGCATGAGGGTGGGGGACCTCATACCCCACACAGGCTGAGGGCTAAGACAGAAAACCCTCCTCACCCTCCACTCTGAGGAGTGCCAGGTCCTGCCTTGTGTGGCCAGGCAAGAGTTAATGCTTTTAAGTCAGTGTGAGGGCAGCTCACGCCAAGGCTCCCCTCCCTGTCTAGCCTTTCCTAGGCGCCAGGGCCAAAGCAGGAGGCCCCATGAGTCCCAGGCAACCCCCCAACCCCCACCCCCAGAGCCCGCCAGGGGGTCCGTGGGGCCCACTCAGTTGTCATCGTGAAAGGGCATCAGCCCAGTCTGACACATTTGCACAACCACTCTTCCTGCCACATCCCCTCTTAGCGCTGGTCAAACCGTGACTCCTCTTGGTCTTCCGTGGAAACAAACACTGATGACATTTCTGTTTCACTATCTGGAAATATTAGATTTATTTTAAATCCTTTTCATCCTGATGACGAAAGTGATACACATTGTTGTATTACTCTTAGAGACTACAGAAATAAGAAAACGAATATGAGCCACGATCTTTAAAAAAAAGAAAGAAGTCATGGCTGGGAGTGGTGGCTCATGCCTGTAATCCCAGCACTTCGGGAGGCCAAAGCAGGCGGATCACCTGAGGTCGGGAGTTCGAGACCAGCCTAACCAACATGGAGAAATCCCGTCTCTACTAAAAATACAAAAAATTAGCCAGGCATGGTCGCGCATGCCTGTAATCCCAGCTACTCAGGAGGCTGAGGCAGGAGAATTGCTTGAACCTGGGAGGCGGATGTTGCGGTGAGCTGAGATGGCACCATTGCATACTCCAGCCTGGCCAACAAGAGTGAAACTCCATCTCAAAAAAAAAAAAAAAAAAAAGTCAACAAAGGATATTGACCACCCCCAGCTACAGAAGCTGGAGTTGGAGCTGCTCTGCCTGCTGCACTTTCTCTAACTCAGCACCTGCCCCGCATGGTGGACTTATATGAAAACCTTCAAATGGCTAGTCCTGGACCCCCACAGCACCTGCCTGCCTCTGCACCAACTCAGCACAGGACCTGAGTCTGCATCAGGGAAACACCAGCCATACCTGGGAGCAGGCCCTGCCTCCAGGTTCCTCACCCCCTTTGTTGGGGGATGGGAGGGGCGGGACCAAGGCCCTCTGGGAACTAGTTCTCACCCCATCTTGTTCCACAGGCTGCACATTCCATTCTGAGTCAAGCAGGGGGCGGGGACTGGGGGAGGTAAGGCAGAGGGGAGGAGAACAGTCGGGCCTCCTCTGGGGCGGATCCCCCAGGGAGCTCCAGGCTTGGCAGGCAGGGATTACGATCAAAACCACCAGAGCGGGAGGGGAGCCAGGAGGGCTCCTGCCCAGTCTGTGGCCCCTTCCCCTCTCTCCTCTCAAGCCAAAACACTGACACCCTAGCTTGGACATGTCCCCAGAAGACACAGGGGGACAATGTTGGGGGTAACACCAATACCCCTCCCCCTAACCCTGCCCCAATCCCTTGGGCAGTTTATAGGGCTTCATGCCAAGGCTATTTAAATGCTAAGGCCACCGCTGGGGGGAGAGTGGAGGGAACTGAATTCCAAATTTGATGACTTCCCAGTGTCAGACTTCCTGTGACCAAAAGGGCCTGGGTATCCAAAGCTATTTGGGAAGAAAGGTGGCAGCTGGAGATACTGTCCCCACTTCTTCCTTCTTTTCCTCTACTATGCCACACAAATTCCGCTCCCCCAAAAAACACCCCTGGCTGAAGCCCTCAACATGTGGGTACAGATCTCGGGACGTCTCCTAGCTGTGCACACCCTGTGCACACCCAGGACTCTGAGATACCAGGCCACACACACAGCACATCCTGCAGCTTTGGTTTGCCCATGGATGACCTTAGGAGGAGGCAGGGGAAACCTCAGCCACTTCCTCCTCACCTCACAGCCTCTAGGAGGTCTGACCACTGCTGCTGTTCCATCTGAGACCATGGAGGTCCTCCCTGACAGCACCACAATGTGCTCTTGCCAGGAGTGAGCAGGGAGGCAGGCCTCAGGGCATTCCTAAAGCAGGAAGGACCCCCTGCCACCCACTAAGGCGGGAGAGCCACCTGGAGTAGCAGGTGGTAGCTACAAGGTTCTATGCTGTGAGGCCAGGCTCGGTGGTTCTCACCTGTAATCCCAGCACTTTGGGAGGCTGAGGTGGGCGGATCACCTGAGGTCGGGGGTTCGAGACCAGCCATGGCCAACATGGTGAAACCCCAACTCTCCTAAAAATACAAAAATTAGCCGGGCGTGGTGGCGCATGCCTGTAATCCCAGCTACTCAGGAGGCTGAGGCAGGAGAATTGTTTGAATCCAGAAGGCGGAGGTTGCAGTGAGCCAAGATTGCACCACTGCACTCAGGCCTGGGCGACAGAGCAAGACTCTGTCTCAAAAAAAAAAAAAAAAAAAATGTTCTATGCTGTGGACCACACCACAGGCTGGACAGAAATCTTTTTTTTGTTTGTTTGTTTTTTGAGACGGAGTCTTGCTCCGTCACCCAGGCTGGAGTGCAGTGGCTCGATCTTGGCCCCGGGTTCATGCCATTCTCCTGCCTCAACCTCCCCAGCAGCTGGGACTACAGGCACACGCCTCCACGCCCGGCTAATTTTTTGTATTTCTAGTAGAGACAGGGTTTCACCGTCTTAGCCAGGATGGTCTCGATCTCCTGACCTCGTGATCCGCCCGCCTTGGCCTCCCAAACTGCTGGGATTACAGGCGTGAGCCACCGTGCCCGGCCCAGAAATCTTTTCCTAGGGGAGCTGCAAAGGCTTCATCACCATGGGGCTTTAAGCTGGGTCCATGGCATACAGCAAGTGCTCTTAGGAGGGAACTACCATATCTCTGCTCCTCAGAGAAAGTATTTGCATTTTTTAAAAAGCAGTCACTCTTTATCAGAGAAGCTGACAGAGGTCGGAGGAACCCTGCTGAGCTGGCCTATAGCAATCTCTGAATCAAGTCTTCCCAAGAACTAAGGAAGGGCCAGTCAAAAGGGGGGTAGTCACCGAGGCAAAGACCACCATCTAGAGCATGCCTTCCTGCTTCGGGGCAGGGAGCTGACAGGAGAGGGAAAGCAATCCTCCATGGGTCTAGTTCCCCATCTGGTAAAAGGCACTGTGATGGCCTCCCTGGCTGACACATCCGGGTTCCAGAAAGGGGACTAGCAAAGGGTGAGGACCGCAACGAGTTCAGGCAGGAGCGAGCCCTCTTAAGCAAACACTGGGCACAAAAATAACTCCCATTCAAAGCACGATTTACTGTGTGCCTGGCCGGCCCTCCCAGCACAGAGCCCTTTTCAAACACTCAGCTTCACCCCTGAATGTGGCTGGGGGAGGGGGCTCAGGAGCACAGCTGCATTTGAATTCCACTTTTTCCGGTGGTGTCAGCTTCCTGGAGACTTACCCAGGGGAGCTGCCCAATAAGGACCGATCTCAAAGCACCCCCAGAGAGGAGAAAATCTTTGTAGAATCCAGTGTCAGCCTCTCAAGGGCAAGGACACCTAGATCCCTTGGTGGAATAGGCCTAGCTCAACCGACACTTGTCTGGCAACAGAAAACCCCAGAGCCCTTACCATTCATGGAGCACTGCTGCCGCAGACATCATCAGCCATTAGCCTCCCAACAGTTCTAAGAGGAAGGTATTGGCCGGGGGCAGTGGCTCATGCCTGTAATCCCAGCACTTTGAGAGGCCGAGGAGGGCGGGATAATTTGAGGTCAGGAGTTCGAGACCAGCCAAACCAACACGGTGAAACGCCGTCTCTACTAAAAATACAAAAAAATTAGCCAGGTGTGGTGGCACACACCTGTAGTCCCAGTTACTCGGGAGGCTGAGGCAGGAGAATTGCTTGAACTCAGGAGGTGGAGGTTGCAGTGAGCCAAGATCACACCACTGCACTCCAGTCTGGGCGACAGAGTAAGAGTCTATCTCAAAACAAACAAACAAACAAGCAAACAAACAAACAAAAGTAATTCACGACCATTGTAGAAAAGTGAAAAAACAAATGGAAGATAAAGAAAGAAATTAAAACCATCCATACGTCCAGTATCCAGAGCTAACCTCTGTAAATATTCTGATGCATCCTCCCAGATTCTGTCCTTGCGTGTGTGCATGATAGCCATGTGTATACTTACAATTCTCTGTACAAGATTAAGATTGTACTCTGTAGTTTTATATCCTGATTTTTTCACTTCTTATGTAATTTTCCAGGTTATAAACTGTTCTTTGTTAACCACGTTTTTGGGAGGTTTTGGGGGATGGTTTGTATACCCACCTGGTACTAAATTCAGAAAGGACAAAAGGGTCTACAGCAAAAACAATCTTTTCTCCATCCCATCCCTCAGCCACCATTTCCCTCCCTTGGGGCAACTATGATTACCGTTTCTTGTGTCCCAAATAATCTTTTAAAATCATAGAGCAGATCATGTCACTCCCCCACTTAAAACTCTCTGATGGATGCATCGCCTGCAATAAAATCCAGGCTTCTAACCAGTATTACCAGGCTTTGGCTCTCCTCTGATTTCTCCAGTCTCTCCTCTCCAGCCACATAGCTGTTGCCCCTGTTCTGGCCTCAGGGGCTTTCATTTGCTATTCCCTCTACCTGCAATCCCCTGTCTCCAGGTCTTTATGCAGCTGGCTCCTCAGCCTTCAAGGCCTGGGCTGAGCTATCCTCTCCCCCAGGGTGGCCTTCACTGGCCTCCCAATCTAGGGCCACCACTGCCTGACCTACATATGTTTTCTATCACATCACCCTGTGGTATTTCTTTCCCATTGCATGTCATAATCTGATAGTCTTGGTTACTTAAAAGTATTTACTGTCTGTCTCCCCACAATAGAAAGAAGCCTCTTTGAAGGCAGGCACGCTGCCTGTCTTGTTCTCCCCTGTTATCCCACTGCGTAGCACAGGCCCTGGCACATAGCAGGTGGTCAACAATTTCTGTTGAAGGAATGAATGGGGTGACTGCAGTGCCAGTTGTCATAATGACTAAAAACTGCCAATTGCAGGATCTCCAACATGAAGAAGCAACCTTCTGGCCATCCTCCCCCATGCCTGGGGTGGAGGTTGGAGGGTCTGAGAAAGGAGGACAGGAGCCTGTTGTCCAAGGCAGTGTGGCTGGGCAGCAGCACCCTGTTCTTCCTCCTGGTTGCTCAGCTCGCCCCTTACCTGTGCTATGCATTTGCAGAGTCCTGAATCAGACAAGGAACTTGTGACAAACCCAAATTCCTAGAAAATCCTCCAACTGCAAGTGGAAAGTTGGAGGTGACACTTTTGCCCCTCACCCCAAATCCCACATCCAGTCTACCCAAGCAGCTGTGCTATTCCAGGTTCCCAAGTGAGCCCAGCAGCAGGAGACACAGACACTACCCAGGGAGCAGGGCTCCTCCTGGGACAGTCCCAGCCCATTCCACCTGACTCTTCCCCTGGGCCCCAGACACCTGACAGGCTCTTTGCTCTGGAAATTCACCCTGCCCCAGAGACACAAATGCACATCCAATCCTGATCCAGCAGCCCAGGCTGAGGACGCTCAAGGGACACCCTTTTGGAGACAATTCCTTCCTGGGACCTGATTTCCATGGAGAGAACACTGCAGTTGAGCCAAGATTGATTTTTAAGAATGAGGAAAGGAGGGAATGAAATGCTTTCACAAAAGTTGTGAAGGGAGGGAGAAAGGAAGGAAACAAGAAAAAGAAAAAAGACTCGAGAAGATGGCACTAGACAAGGAGTAAGAAGGATACGTTTGATCTGAGGGGCTGGAATCAGGCAAGGGTGGGAGAGAGTACAAGATCTCCTCCTCTCCAGAAGTGGGCAATGTTATAATTGATTAGTTGAGCACAATCACCAAGTGCTCTTCTGGGCTCTGTACAAGGTCAGTTAAGTAATAATGGCAATAATAGCTCATATTTACCTAGCACTTATTATGTGCCAGGCACTGTTCTCAGTTTCACTTTATTAAGTCTTTTAATCCTCAAGACAACCCCATGAAGCGTTCATATTAACCCTATTTTATGGCTGAGGAAACTGAGGCACAGAGGTTAAGTTAAATTGCCCAGAGTCACACCGCCAGTGGCATCCGGGATCTAACTCCAGCTCCAGGACTCTTAACCACTAGGCTATATTTGGCCCTTAATGATCCAGAGGTAGGTGGGTCCCTACCCTCCTGGAGATCATGCCTTCCAAACCAGTATCCCCCAAACGATCACGACATGCCAGTTTCAAAGTTGGGTGCATAACTCTGCCCATTTCGCATGCGGGGAAGTCCAAACCCACGCTGCTCATCGATGGGGAACTGGAATCCAAATGTGCTGAATCCCAGCATCTTGTGAAGCGCTTTCTAATGAAGCACAGTGGAAACAGGGGTCAGCCTCAGGCCCTGACTCGCAACTGCGCCGAGGCGCAGATTACGGAGTCAGGGAGCCGGGGAGCCAGGGAGCGGGGGAGAGGGAGAGCGGGAGGTAGCGGGCTGGCGCCGCGTCGGACGAGTCCGAAAGCACAACCGCGGTAGGCAGGGAGACAGCCCCACGCCCAGGGCAGAGAGCAGAGGGCAGAGAGCGGCCTGGCTCGACGGAGAGCGCCGCCCGGCTGGAACCGAGCTTGCCTCCCTGGACTCCAAAACGAGCAGAGTTATGCACCCATCTTTGAAACCGGCATGTCGTGATCCTTTGGGGGATACTGGTTTGGAAGGCATGAACTCCGGGAGGTAGAGACCCACCTACTTGGACTGCTGAGAGCCAAGTACAGCCTAGTGGTCAAGAGCCAGCAGCATCGTCTCTGGCCGTCTTTGGCCAGACCCCTTCACCAGCGCCAGCGCCAGCGCCAGCGCCGAGGCGTCCTGCCCGGAAATTCCCAGAGAGTCAAAGCAAACTTCCCAGGAAAACTCTTCGGCTTCCTCCAAGCCTCTGTCACCGAGGCGGCTGCCAAGAGCGCCAGCGGAGTCTTTGCAGCTGCCGCGGGCCCTCCAGGGCGGGAGCCGCCGCTCCAGCGCTCGGGGTCCTCCCGGAAAGGTCCAGGGCTGAAGTTCAAAATTCACTTCCCGCCCAGGCCCGGCTCACCGCCCCGCCCGGTACTGTCCGGCAACCCCCACGTCTCTTGTCCTCTCCAGCTCCAGTTAAGTCCTGGAGCGCCTCCAGCCTGAAGACCCATGCGGGCAGCTGAGCGAATCCCGCGGGCGATCCCTGCGCGCCTGGGGACGGGAAGCAGCCAGAGCCGGCGCACACACACAACCTTGTGTGTGCGTGTGTGTTTACGTACGGAACGCGCGGGGTGGGAAAACAATGGCGAGCCGCTGGGAACTGAACGACTACCCGCTCCGCATCTCCCTACCCCTAGGCGCGATCAGCGTTTGCAGCGGAATCGGGATGAAAAGGCTCACCTACGATATCCCAGGGCGGGAGGTGGGGGTAGCAAGAAGCAGCCTGCGGTGGGGGTGGGGGTGGGACAGGAGCAGCCGGAGCAGAAAACAAACAGGATGCCGCGCTGGTCTGGTCCGCTGGGGAACGACCCTGAAACCGTGGCAAGGGGAGCGCGTCTGTCCCCCAGCACCCCACGCAACCATGGTGGAGGAGCTCTGCGCCTCGTCGCAGGCACCTGAGCCCCACGCAGGACGCGCGCAGGTCGCTTCGGCTTCCCGCTGAGAAATCCTTAAACTAGGCGCATAGTCGGGCTGATGAGAAAGACCTAGTCCTCTGCGGTCGGCGAGGAGCGGGTTGGGGGTGCACCCTAAGCTCGACCCGCGTGGTGAACGCGCGCGCGCGCGCGCGTACACACACACACACACACACACACAAACACACACACAGCCACGCACTGCCTTAGAGGCTGCCATCCCTCTCCACAAGGACCCAAGTCGGCCAGGGAGGAGCCGCCACTGCCCAGCGTTGTTGGGGGTAGGTGAGGGTCCGTCTCTCCTCGAAAAACTTTGCACAGGGTGGAAACTCGCAGGGAAGAGAGCCGGTGGGTGCCCAGAAACGTAGGGGCGCAAGTGTCAAACTTCAGAGAGCTGGGGAAATGGGCGCGACGGCGCGATCATGGCGGGGAGGGGTGCACTTACTACTCAGCCAGGCGCCGGGCTCGGGGCTCGGGGCTCGCGGCTCCGCGCTCCTGCTCCTCCTCCGTGCGGTCCTCGCGGCTGGCAGCCTAGGCTTCCCGCTCACATGCCCCCGCGACGCGGCGGGCGGGCCGGGTTGGGGAGGCTGGGCTGGGAGGGGGCACGCCCCCCGCCGTCGGCCGGGGAGTCGCTGCGGACCCACGGCCACCCTGGGTCCGCGCCCCACGGGGCCCGCCGTCCCGGGCGGCGAGCTTGGTTCCGGCCGGGCGGCGCCCTCTCCGCCGAGCCAGGCCGCTCTCTGCCCTCTGCCCTCTGCCCTGGGCTTGCGGCCGTCTCCCTGCCTTCCGCGGTCCTGCTCTGCGACTCGTCGGACGCGCAGCCGGCCCGCCCTCCCTGCTCTTCGGCTCTCACGCTCTCCGGCTCCAACCTCAGCGCCTCGGCTCGATTCCGAGTCAGGGCCTACGAGGCTGACCGCTGAGCTCTGGGCTCAGACCTGGGCTCGCCGGTTCTGGGCCCGGGTTCCAGGACCCGTGCTCACACAGTTCAGTTCCAAGCCGGGACTGGAGAAGGGCGCTCGCGGCTCGCTGCTGCGAGGCGACTGGACAGCCTAGAGGAGAAAGAGGGAGGGAGACCGAGAGCGCGCAGGGGGAGGAGGGAGGGAGGGTGGGGACTTGCAGAAGAAGGGAGGGACAGAGAGTTTCCTCCTCCTCCCTGCAGCCGGGTCCATCCAGGCATCAACAGCTGGAAACCTCTGTTGGAAAGGGGAAAGCTAAGGTTTACGGGCGGCGGGGAAGGGTGGGGGTGGAGTGAGGGGGTGTAGAGAAGAGAAGAAAGAAGGATTCTGCCCGCTCCCACTGCCCAGGTATGAGGGTCGCTACAGAGAATCTTCACTCCTTAAAGCAAGACCTAAGAAGTTATTGGTCCAGCTCCAAGCCTCCCAACCCCTCCAAACAGATAGCCTGGACTCGGGTTTTTTAAAAACCCCATTTCTCCGGACTTCCCTTAAGAACCTGATCTCTGCCGGGCGCGGTGGCTCACGCCTGTAATCCCAGCACTTTGGGAGGCCGACGGGGGCGGATCACGAGGTCAGGAGATGGAGACAATCCTGGCTAACACGGTGAAACCCCGTCTCTACTAAAAATACAAAAAATTAGCCGGGCGTGGTGGCGCGCCTGTAACCCCCTACTCGGGAGGCTGAGGCAGGAGAATCGCTTGAACCCGGGAGTGGGAGGTTGCAGTGGGCCGAGATCGCGCCATTGCACTCACTCCTGCCTGGGCGACAGGGCGAGACTCCGTCTCAAAAAAAACAAAACCTGATCTCACCTGTAGCTAGACGGATTCCTGATATCTCCAACCACTCCCTAATCCTGTCATTTGCAGCCTCTCAAATAAATCTTATTTTCTCCTGTCCCATTATATGGGAGGGTGGGGGAGAATGGAGAGTTGGTTTCCTTTCATTCAACGTATTTATCAAATGTCTACATATGACCGGGCGCAGTGGCTCACGCCTGTAATCCCAGCACTTTGGGAGGCCAAGGCAGCAGATCACCTGAGGTTGGGAGTTCGAGACCAGCCTGGCCAACATGGTGAAAACCCCTCTCTACTAAAAATACAAAAATTAGCCGGGTGTGGTGGTGCATGCCTGTAATTCCAACTACTCAAGAGGCTGAGGCAGAAGAATTGCTTGAACCCAGGAGGCAGAGGTTGCAGTGAGTGGAGATCGCACCACTGCACTCTAGCCTGGGTGACAGAGTAAGACTCTGTCTCAAAAAAAAAAAAAAAAAAAAGTCTACCTATGCCTGGCTTACCGGGGTGCTGGGGACACGAAGACAAATGAGACGGTGTCCTGCCCTTTCTGGATTCTGATTTTGTAAAGGAATGGGTGAATATACCATTGCAGTGAAGTGGAGAGGGCTAAGATAGGGCAGGCAAATGGGCACAGGGCCACCAAAGACACTGGGATATGGGGACTGGAACTTCTTGGGGGAGGTGGCATCTGAAATGGGTCTTGGAAGGACCTGTGGGTGTAGGGCAGATTAAAGGAGTGACAATCATGGACCTACTAATAAGTCTATGCCCACAGTGTGGGTGGCCAGCATGTGTTCAAAGGTGATGGTCAGCAAGGCTCTGAAGGCCTTCTAAGGGCTCATCCTTGCCCACTGCTTTGCCTGGCTAACTCCTTTTATTCATCTTTTAGGTCTCAGCCTAGACATCAACTTTCCCTGAAGCCTTTCTTGATGGCCATATCTGGGCCAGGTGCCCCATCTGTGGGCTCTGGAAAAACCCCATTTGTAAATAATATGGTAACCATTCATTTGTCTGTCTCCGCCCTGGACTGTAAGCTCCACAAGGGCAGGGATGTATCTCTCCAGTGTGCCTAGCCAGAGATTGGGAAAGAGCAGGCCCTTCATAAATACTTATTGATCAATACTTGTTGATGGAAGGAAATGGGGAGCCACTGAAGGATTCTAAGCAAGGTCTCAGATGGCATCAATCTAGCTGGAGGTAGGAAGGAGGCCAGTGACCAGACAATGGCAGTGGCCAGGGTAAAAATGATGCAGGCCTGAGCTAAGCTGGGAGTAGGGGGAATGGAAAGGAGAAAACAGGTGGGTGTAAGAGAGTGGGAGAAGCCAACATTAAAGGCTTGATGTTTGGATAACTATGGATGAAGCCATCCTAGAAATCATGAAAGGGTTACCCAAATTGCCGGGCGCGGTGGCTCGCGCCTGTAATCCCAGCACTTTGGGAGTCTGAGGCAGGAGGATCACCTGAGGTCGGGAGTTTGGGACCAGCCTGACCAACATGGAGAAACCCCATCTCTACTAAAAATACAAAATTAGCCGGGCGTGGTGGCTCATGCCTGTAATCCCAGCTAATCAGGAGGCTGAGGCAGGAGAATTGCTTGAACCCCGGGAGGCGGAGGTTGTGGTGAGCTGAGATCATGCCACTGCACTCCAGCCTGGGCAACAAGAGGGAAACTCTGTCTAAAAAAAAAAAAAAAAAAAAGGGTACCCAAGTGCCACCAAGACTTTCCTCCTCCCAGACAACATGCCTGTGTTTTCCATATATCTGGTTGTTTTTCTCTGGCCCCTGATCATCTTCAGGGGGGCAACTTGATTGTGGGTACCTCCCTGCAGCTGTCCTTAGCAACAGCAGATTAAGAGAGGAAGAGCAAAGATCAGCCCTTCCACTCACTGCCACCAAATTAAGATATAAAGTGTCTCCCTACTGGGTCTTAGGCACAATACTGTTTTCCTATATGGTATCTATTTGTACCTTATCCCAGTTCTGTGATGTTGGTGTCATTATCCCCATTTTATCTTATTTTTTAATTTAATTTAATTCCATCTCTTTGCAAGTCCCTGAGTACCTGGAATCCCATTTTAGAGATAAGAAAAATGAAGCTCCAATTAGTGAGACAGGAAGCTATCTGACTGAAGATTCTAGATTTTCTCTACTACTGCACCATTTCCCAGGAACAACTATCAAATTTACATGATGTAACCCAGTCAGCCACTCCTTGAAACACTCACTTCATGAGTCCACACTTTCTTGAGTCCTCCCACCTCACTGGCTGCTCTTTCCCAGCCACCCTTTTTTATGTTCCCTCCTCCATCCTGGTCTCCAGGTGGGCATTCCCTGTGGGCTCTCTCCTACACCCTATTTTCCTCCTACCACATCTCCCTAGGTAAAATTTTGTCCTTTTCCATAGCTTTAAGTACCAACTATGTGGTGATGATTCTCCCAATTATTTAATATCCAAGACTATTATCCAACCACACACTTGATGTTTCTACCCCAGGGCCTCACAGACATTGTAACCGTAATGGGTCCATTGCCTGAGGGCCTGCAAGTCAATACACCAACACCGAGGGTTGCAACAGAAAAAGAATTTTAAATGCAAGGCTGAACAAGGAGAGGAGAGAAAACCTCAAATCTGCTTCTCCGAAGAGTTGGGGGCTAGGGATTTTAAGGGGTTTGGAGTGGGCCGAGGTGTGGGGATCACTGTGGATGTCCCGTGACGCAGAGTCACGGGACAGGGAGATGAAGAAACTGCATTCTCATGCTGATTACGCTCCTCTGTGAGGGTCTTCAAACTGGTGGCATCAGCCATTCTGCTGGAACTCAAGAGCTAAAAACATCTTAAGCAAATCTTAAACAAAAGCCTTATGATTCCAACGTCAGTGATCCTATCTATAGGAACAATGGGGATGCAAATCGATTCTTCAACAAAAGCCTTATGATTCTAACATCAGAAATCCTATCTATAGGAAAAATGGGGATGCAAATGGTCAGTATCTGGTTCTATGGAACTTTTAGCAACAAGGAAGTGCGCCAAAGTGCAACCTAATTAATGCTTTTTCTTTCTTTCTTTCTTTTTTGAGACACGGTCTTGCTGTCACCCAGGCTGGAGTGCAGTGGTGAAGTCACGGCTCACTGCAGCCTCAACCTCCTGGGCTCAAGTGATCCTTCCACCTCAGCCTCCCAAGTAGCTGGGACTACATACACAGGCATGAGCCACCCTGCCTGGCTAATTGTTTTTCATTTTGTGTAGAGACAAGATCTTGCTATGTTGCCCAGGCTAATCTCAAACTCCTGGGCTCAAGTGATCCTCTCGCCTCGGCCTCCCAAAGTGCTGGGATTACAGGTGTGAGCCACCGCACTTGCCTATTAAGGTTAAATTATAACAGTATTTCCGCCCAGAACCTAGCATGTAATACTTGCTAACCCTGTGAGGATGGCTTCCACATCCTAACCCTAACATTGAACCTTTAACCATCATCCCCAACCCAGTACCATCTTCTTTCCCATCCAGTAAATGGTACTACCACCTACCTAATGGCTCAAGTCAAAAACCTAGCCATCATCTGTGATTGTTTCTCGCTCATCTAATCAATTTAGTGAGTCACTGGCCTATCTCCAAAAATATATCCCAATCCATCCATTCCTGTCTTTACCACCCCACCCTAGTCCAGGCCACAATTACCTACCACTCAGCCAGACTACAACGGCCTCACCTGCGGTGACATCATTTCACTGAGGCTGCCTACATCTGCATGACTTTAATATTTGTTCCAGAAATTTCTTCCCCAGGAAGATAAGACTGTAAACTGGTAAATAACTTCATTATTTCCTTCAGGAACTTCCTGAAAATCAATTTATCTGAACAATAGACTGCTCAAACAGCCCCCTTCTCGGGACAATAGTTTGCTTAACTGGGCAAACCAGTAGCTTATCAAACAATTGTTTATTCTTCAAGACCCTCCCTTCACCATGTCCTCCAATCCTAAACTGTTATAAATTTTGCCCAGTCCCAATCAGATCCCCATATTGAAAGATCTGCCTTGAACTAGACTTCAAACCCGATAAAAATCTTTACACCTGTTAAGTTCTTCCCCAAACCCTCCTCTTCCTAGAGTGGGCACCTTTTCATCCTCTTGTCTCAACAAAAATGTCTCTTCTCTCATCTTCCCCTTTCCTCCCATATAAAATCATCCTCTACCCCATCCCACCTTTATTCTGTTTCTCAGCCCTGTTTGCTTCTTTCATAGCACTTACCACAATTGCACTTGTTTTATCTGTTTTCTGTTTTCTTGTGTTTTTTTTCTTTTTTTGGAGACAGAGTCTCGCTCTGTCACTCTGGCTGGAATGCAGTGGTGCGATCTCTATTTACCACAACCTCCGCCTCCTGGGCTCAAGCAATTCTCCTGCCTTAGCCTCCCAAGTAGCTGGAATTACAGGCGCACGCCACTACCACCTGGCTAATTTTTTGTACTTTTAGTAAAGATGGAGTTTCACCATGTTGGCCAGGCTGGTCTTAAACTCCTGGCCTCAAATGATTCACCCACCTCGGCCTCCCAAAGTGCTGGGATTACAGGCGTGAGCCACCGTGCCTGGCCTCTTGTATTTTTCCTGCTTCCCTTTAGACTATAGGCTCTGTGAGGGGAGACCTTGTCTGCTCTAGTCTCCATTTAATTTCCAGAATACCTGCTGAAGGAAGGACTCTGCTTGGCTTCAGGGAGTGGGGGCTCCGAGGGCTCCTATCTGATTTGTGTGTGGCCATAGCCTGAAACACAGGTGGGGGTTGCGGTGCCCAGGTGTGCTAGGTTTCTGATTTTCCCTTTAACCTACGAGGTTAGAGACAAGGTGTAAAATGCAAATGCCCTTGGGAGAGATAATAAAAGAATTAAATTCACAAAATGGTGTGAATTACTTTCCTCAAGCACCAGAGTGAAAGCTCTGAGAGAAAAAGCAAAAGCCCACGGGTTGAGAACAGGAAGAAGCATACTGGAATCCTGGTCTCACTGCTCTGCTTCAAAAGGGTCCTGCCTGTCCCCTCACCCACCCCCACCTAACCCAGGGCCATTTTCCCTGCAAAGCTTAGAAAGAGGGTGCTTGTAGGTCGGATCAGATCAGGGTAGGCCCAGCCTCATGAGGTTTGTCTGGTACCAACTCTTCATCCTTCTGTCTGAGCAAGGGCTTTTCCAGATGGCTATAGCTAGAGATGTGAGTCAGAGGTGCCCCACTCAGGGGGTCTTGCACCATGGCACAGCCCGTGGGGCTTCTTCTCAGAGGCAAGCACTGCCTTCAGGCTGACCTGAGGTGGGCTTCTACTCAGTTCTACTTGGGCTTTTCTAGGGAGTCACACTCAGGTATGGAGCCAATCAAGAAAGTAACAGATTAAGTCACAGCTGTTTCATTTGCCTATCAGAATCTGACAGTACAAGATCTGGAAGAAGCCGGGTGCGGTGGCTCATGCCTGTAATCCCAGCACTTTGGGAGGCCGAGGCGGGCGGATCATGAGGTCAGGAGATCGAGACCATCCTGGCTAATACGATGAAATCCCGTCTCTACTAAAAATACAAAAAATTAGCCAGGCGTGGTGACGGGCACCTGTAGTCCCAGCTATTCCAGAGGCTGAGGCAGGAGAATGGCGTGAACCTGGGAGGTGGAGGTTGCAGTGAGCCGAGATCGCACCACTGCACTCCAGCCTGGGCGACAGAGCGAGACTGCATCTCAAAAAAAAAAAAAAAAGATCTGGAAGGAATTGGCCGTCCAGAACCATCTCCTCCAGCTCCCTCTTTGTGCAATAGAGAAGACTGAGGCACAAGAAGGAGGGATAGCTCACTCAAGCCTGCACGTTACACACAGGACTCGCTTAAGCTATCAGCGGCTCTGTGAAGACCGGGACAGTTCCTTTCACAGATGAGGAAAAAGATACTCAGAAAGGGGAGGGAAATTTCCCAAGACCACACAGTGAAGGGGCACCATCAGACATCTGAACCCAGGCTTTCCGGCCCTCTGATCCATGCTTTGTCCAGCATACCATGCTGCCTTGCTGCTTGTGGGGTTTTCTGGTCCTTGGAATCTGAAACATATAATAAACAGCAGCTGAGTATTATTCCGTACCCTAGATTCTAGCCTAGACCCTAGAAGTTGAAGCAGCTCTCTGCTTTCCGTATGCCAGTCAGCCTCCTATTTCCTGAGTGGCGGACTTTCTCCCAGGGACAGAGGACCCAACCCATACCACCACTCCTTAACACGCAGGCACAGAATCTCCCAGGGACAGAGGACCCAACCCATACCACCACTCCTTAACACGCAGGCACAGAAACACGCAGGGACCCCACTCAGTGTGTGGGTTCAGCTAATGTTGGCGACTTGAGTCCTTTTTACACACATGCACACTTCCAGAGCTTTTCCACTCCATCCTTCACGTGTTCAGCTGCCACAGGGAATGAGCTTGGGAAGAGGGCTGGAGTAGTCATTCTCACCTCCAGGGCTAGTGCACACTCTCTGTGAATGTAATTATCTGGAGTCCTAAGTGTAGGGCCAACAATCAGGCCGCATGTTTTCCTGATCTACTTGGAATGGGGGCAGTGCAAAGACAGGGCCACTTCCCCCTGAGAGGACGCCCACACGCATGCGAATACACACAATGGTGGTTTTTTTCATTTTCTTCTGTCTCTTCCCACAGAGAGGGGCCACTGGGCCACACCAGCAAAGGCAGGTGAGGGAGGGAGGAAAAGAGATGCAGAAGGTGCTTCCCTCCCAGAAGCCTGGGCCATTTAGAAAATCCTTAGGCCGCCTCCTCAGTCCTCTTCTCCTCCCCACCTACCACCTGGCTTACAGTGCCCCACACCCATCCCCAAACTTTTTTTAAATCCCTGTTTCCTGCCTTGAGGAGACCTAGATCCCCATCCTGGGAGGGACTGGCAACAATTAACAAAGGCACCATGGAGTAAAGACAATTAACAATCCAGAAAAGAGGCGAAAGAGAGGCTTTGTTCTGGTCTCCATGACAACAGCGGGGGGTGGGGGGGAGATGAGGGAGGAGGAGGAAGAGAAGGGGCATCCAGAGAGGCTGATACTTTCACTTTCCTTTCATCCCTCCCCTCTCCGCCCCTTTGGGTTTCTGCCAGGGATCCCAAAGGGAACAGGGCTGGGACAGGCCAAGTCTGAAGGCTGGAGATTAGAGGTGGGCAACTCCAAGATTCAAGCCTTAGCTGAGGGCTCACTGGGGAGTTAAGACTAGACAGGAAGCCCTGGGGACTGAATCAAAGGCATTTGAGTGCTTCCTCCTCTTTTTCCAAAGGGCTTACCTTATGCTAAGAACTGTACCCAAAGATCAAGTCTCTGCCCTGGATGGACACCTCACGGTCAAAAAGCTTGGTGGCTTCTGCATCCCTTCTCATCAGGACGTGGTGGAAAGTGAAGAAGTGAAGGCAGGACTGTCTACATAGCTTGCAGGGTCCAGTACAAAATGAAATGTTCCAACATTAGTCCAGGCGCGGTGGCTCACACCTGTAATCTCAGCACTTTGGGAGGCTGAGACGGGTGGATCGCTTGAGGCCAGGAGTTCAAGACTAGCTGGCCAACATGGTGAAACCCCATCTCTACTAAAAATACAAAAATTAGCCTGGCATGGTGGCATACACCTGTAGTCCCAGCAACTTGGGAGGCTGAGGCAGGAGAATTGCTTGAACCCAAGAGGTGGAGATCGTGCCACTGCACTCCAGCCTGGGTGACAGAGACCCATGAGACCCTGAAAGAAACAGAGAAAGAGAAAGAAAGAAAGAGAGAGAGAGAGAGGAAGGAAGGAAGGAGAGAGAAAGAGAAAGAAAGAAAGAGAGAGAGAGAGAGGAAGGAAGGAAGGAGAAGAAAGAAAGAAAGAGAAAGAGAAAGGAAGAAAGAGAAAGAAAGAAAGAGAAAAAGAAAGAAAGAAAAAGAAAGAGAAAGAGAGAAAGGAAGAAAGAGAGAAAGAAAGAGAAAAAGAAAAAGAAAGAAAAGAAAGAAAGAAAAAAGAAAAGAAAGGAGGGGGAGGGAGGGAGGGATGGAAGGAAAGAAGGAAAGAAGGAAGAAAAAAGAAAGAAATGTTCCAAAATTGTTAAGAATTTCAAGATGGCAAAAGCAGAGCATCAAGTGTAGGGCCCTCTGAGCACAGTGCACAGGTTGCACATCCATAAAGCCAGCCCTGTCAGGAGGAGCTTGGGGCTGGGCTCTGTCTGCCTGCTCAATGTATGCGTGCGTGTGTGTGTGTGTGTGTGTGTGTGTGTGAGAGAGAGAGAGAGAGAGAGAGAAAGAGAGAGACAGACCTCTCCACTGCACACATTTCTGAGCATGTGCTATGGTCTAGATGATGGTGTCCCCTCAAATTCATATGTTGAAACTTAATCCCCACTGGGATCCTATTAAGATGTGGGGCCTTGGAGGGGTCATGAAGGCAGACTCTTCATGAATGAGATTAGTGCCTTTATGAAAGAGGCTTGAGGAGCCTGTTTGCCCCTTCAGTCATGTGGAGGACACAGATGGTGCCATCTATGAAGACTGGGCCATCCTAAGACCCTGAGTCTGCCAGCATCTTGATCTCGGACTTTCTGGCTTCTAGAATTTTGAGCAATAAATGTCTGTTGTTTATAAATTACCTAGTCTAAGGTATTTTGTTAACAGCCTGAATGGATTAAGACATTCACCTTTGAGCAAGAGAGAAACCAAGTACAGAAAACCCATTCCCAAGAGTGGGGTGTTCTGGTAACCAGTGATGACCAGCTATCCCAGGCTTCCCTGTTTGGAAAAGGCAGAAGACAGTGAGATGTACAAAGCTCCAAAATCCTGCTGAAGAACATGATGTCTATCCTAGGGGATTTAGAAAACACCTTTCATCTCACAAGGTGTTGCTCCCGGTTGCAGAAGTTTCTTGGCACGAGCAGCCAAGCACATCAGGCCTGGCCTCATGGGTGGGCCTCTTCATTAGCCATAGGAGAACGGACCTTCAGAACATTTCTTGCTCTCAGCAACCCTAACATCATAAGAGAAAATGGGTTAGGGACTGTAGAGACCTGTCCTTCTAGGGCTCAGCCTCACTGACTTGTGGGTCCAAGTGAAATAAAAAATATTACTCAGAAAAAAAGTCAGTTGTGTCGGAGGCCCCAAATTAGGCAAGAAAGAGGTCAAAGATTCTGCTTGCTGCCTTCACCTCTCTGCCCAAAGGGATCCTCCCAGGGACTTCTTGCAGGGTTGCTGTTATGGGCTGAATTCTGTCCTCCTCCACTCCCCGAATTCACATGTTCTAACTCCCAGCACTTTAGAATGTGACCATATTTGGAGACAGGATCTTTACAGAGGTAATTAAATTAAAATCATGGTGGTGGGCGCCTGTAGTCCCATCTACTTGGGAAGCTGAGTCAGGAGAATGGCGTGAACCCGGGAGGCGGAGCTTGCAGTGAGCTGAGATCAAGCCACTGCACTCCAGCCTGGGTGACAGAGCGAGACTCTGTCTCAAAAAAAATAAATAAAATAAAAAATTAAAAAATTAAAAAAAAATAAAAATAAATTAAAATCAGATCACGAGAGTGGGTCCGAATCCAATGTGACTGGTGTCCTTACAAGATGATATTTGGACGCAGAGACATACAAAGAGATGCTGATGGGAAGAGTCACAGGCAGAAGACAGTCATGTACAAGCTAAGCAGAGAGGCCTGGAACGGGTATTTCCCCCAGAAAGAACCAACCTGCTTACACCTTGACCATGGATTTCTACTGTCTAGAATGTGAGAAAATGAATTTCTGTTGTTTAAGCCACCGTGTCTGTAATAGTTTGTTAGGGGAACCCTAGCAAATTAATATATAGAGGCTTAGATGCTGGAAGGTCTGCATAGCCTTAGGTTGCCTGGACCAAAGAATGCATCTGAATGAGGGATATGTTTGTACTTATATTGCAGCATTATTTTAACTTGAAGCAAAATTGATCTATTACTCCCTTCCCCCATAGCTCAGTCTTTTAAATTTTTTATTTCTTTTGGTATTGGTTGAATACATTTTATTGTTTTAATCCCTTTAGTCTTTTTATTTTTCTGGTTTTAATGATTTTGCTTATCTCAGTCATTTTTAATCTCTGTTTTGTCTTCTAGCTACTTTATACTATTTTCTTTGATCTCATCTTATCTAGATTTATTGTTATTGTATTATCTTTTTATTCCGCATCTTTTATTTCTAACCTTTGCCTTGTCATGTCTTTGTTCTAGCTTTTAATTTCTTTTTAGCTTATTTGGTTTATTTTTAGTTCATATTATCACTTTATTGCCTGCCGCCCTCTTTTTTTAACTGTTTTTACCACCTTTTTTTTATTTCTTCTTAGTTTACTTTATCTTTTTATTGACTGTTGTATTATCTTCCATTTTTTTACTGTTTTCAATTCTCTCTGCTTATTAAACGCAGAGGCTGGAAACACAGCCCTCAGGGGAGAGCTTCAAGGCTAACCCAGGCCCTAAGTGGAGGAGGAGGCTGGCTGCCCTCTCTGCCTTCTGGAGTGGGCCCTTCCAACCACCCCTTCTAGATGCTCCATTTGCACCAAAGCTGGCCCCTCCTGTCTATAAGGATTAATCTGTGTAAGATAAGAGATCCTGGGGAAAAACTCCATCAGGAAGATAGTTATAGTGATAACCCATCTGAACTGCTGGAACAGCCTGGCTTTCTCACATCATATGCCATCAAATTGCTCTATGTGCATCTGAAATGTACCATCACTGGACATTAGACCAAACCTATAAAAAGAGCATATTACTTGTCAGGTTGGGTGTGGTAGGTACGAAATTTCACTTTGGGAAGAGCTCTCAACATATCTCTGTAGGTTTAATTTTAACAACAACAACAGGAACACAGTGGAAGGCCAGGCACGGTGGCTCATGCCTGTAATCCCAGCACTTTGGGAGGCCGAGGAGGGTGGATCACGAGGTCAAGAGATCAAGACCATCCTGGCCAACCTGGTGAAACCCCATCTCTACTAAAAATACAAAAATTAGCGGGTGTGGTGGTGCTGTAGTCCCAGCTACTCGGGAGACTGAGGCAGGAGAATCACTTGAACCCAGGAGGTGGAGGTTGCGGTGAGCCGAGATCATGCCACTGCACTCTAGCCTGGAGACAGAGCAAGATTCCATCTAAAAAGAAAAAAAAAAAAACTAAAACAAACAAACAAACAAAATACAGTGGACTGGATCCTTGCAGCACAAGTTTTTGGGAGGAGGCTCAGTGAAGTATTTTCTGGAATTCTTCTTACATCTAGCTGCCTCTCATTTATTCATTCACCTGATAAATACGTATTGGAACCCTCCTACATGCCAAAGCTCTGCTAGGCAATGAAGACAAAGTACTGACCAAAAAGTGTGAAGCTCCTTGCTATAATAAAGTTTATAGTCTATTAAAAGGATGTTTATCTATTACCAATCTTATTTGCCTTCCTTTAGGCAAGATTACAGGAGGTTCTTATGTCATAGATTGGTAATTGTCCTCAAGTATCTGTTTCTTCCTTCTAGAATAATATAAGTTTTAGCTAAGAAAATAATGATACGTTAAAAGGCTGCATATAGCCGGGTGAGGTGGCTCACACCTATAATCCCAGCACTTTGGGAGGCCAAGGCGAGTGGATGACCTGAAGTCGGGAGTTCGAGACCAGCCTGACCAACATGGAGAAATCCCATCTCTACTAAAAATACAAAATTAGCCAGCTGTGGTGGCGCATGCCTGTAATCCCAGCTACTTGGGAGGCTGAGGCAGGAGAACCCTTGAACCCGGGAGGAGAAGGTTGTGGTGAGCCAAGATCACGCCATTGCACTCCAGCCTGGGTAACAAGAGCGAAAAAAAAAAAAAAAAAGGTTGCATATCCCAGTCTCCCTTGCAGCTAAGTACAGCCATGTCCCTAGGTTCTGCCCTATAGAAACCTAAGCAGAGGGATATTTGCTTGCTGGTTTGGCCCTATAGGACCTAAACAGAGGGATGCATACTTCCCGGTTCTGCCCTATAGGACCTAAGCACAGGGATATATGCAACTTCCTGGTTATGGCCATTAAAGGAAAGGGTATATTCTGCCCATTCTCTCTTTCTCCCTTCTGCTGGCTGGAATGCAGGCATGGTGGCTGGAGCTATAGCTGGTATCCTAAGCCATGAGATGAGAAAAGGGCATTGAAAATGGGTGAGGGCCAGGCGCAGTGGCTCATGTCTGTAATCCCAGTAGTTTGGGAGGCCGAGGAGGGCGGTCACTTGAGGTCAGGAGTTCAAGACCAGTCTGGCCAACATGTCGAAATCCTGTCACTACTAAAAATACAAAAATTAGCTGGGTGTGATGGCATGCGCCTGTAGTCCCAGCTACTCAGGAGGCTGAGGCAGAAGAAATACATGAACCTGGGAGGTGGAGCTTGCAATGAGCCGAGATCGATGCCCCTACACCATTCCAGCCTGGGTGACAGAGCAAGACTCTGTCTCAAAAAAAAAAAAAAAAAAAAGAAAAAGAAAAAGAAAAGAAAGAAAGAAAAAAGAAAAGAAAAGAAAATGGGTGAGGAATCTAGGTTCCTGATACCATGGAGCCTCCAGAAAGCCCTGTAGTGCTTATTTTTGGACAATTACCTGAGAGACAAATAAACAGCTATCTTGTATAATCCACTGTGACATTGGCCTTTGTTACTGCACCTGAATCAGTTCTCTTTAACATATAGTTCTCCCTGAAAAAAATCTTATTTTATTTTGAGAGCCAAGGAGTACATGGCAATCCTTAAATCATATCCTTCTAGAAAATAATTAGATATATCCCTGCTGGGTTACTTCTGTAGGTAAGAGCCCTTCCTTGTCACCAGGGTGCATGAGGGTGGGTGATCTTCCACACTTCACAGCTGGGCCTCTGAGTCTGCACAAGCCTGCTCACTGTGTTCTGTTCTCTTCAGTCTCAGAAAAATTATCAGGGTTCTTAGTACCTGTCCAACTTTTTTTTTTTTTTTTTTTTTTTGAGACAGCCTCACTCTGTTGCCCAGGCTGGAGTGCAGTGGTGCGATCTTGGCTCACTGCAACCTTCGCCTCCCAGGTTCAAGCGATTTTCCTGCCTCAGCCTTTCGAGTAGCTGGGATTACAGACGTGCACCACCATGCCCAGCTAATTTTTGTATTTTTAGTAGAGACAGATGGGGTTTCACCATCTTGGGCAGGCTGGTCTCAAACTCCTGTTCTTATGTGATCCACCTGCCTTGACCCCCCAAAGTCCTGGGATTACAGGTATGAGTCACTTGGCTCGGCCTACAGGTTCCCACTTTAAATATATTTTTCATGACGAACTAGCTATGCAAGCTGAAGAATCTATTCTGTTAAAAGCAGGCTTTCATCAGTGAAATCTATACCAATAGCCATGTGACCCCTGCACCCCCAATCAACAACATGATTCCTTTCCAAATCTTCAATCATTGGCTTAGAACTCCAAGTTAGCCCTTAAAATGTTTACTTCCACACTGCCCAGTCACATTTTCAGGGATTTCTTCAGCTGTTGAAGGTAATTTCCAGAGCCCTGCCCCTCTGCAGACAGAGGTTGTCGTGAAAACCTGCAGATTCCTCCACTACAGAATACTCTGTTGAACCTAACACTGTGAATTTGGCCTTGCTCTTACTCAATAAGATGACAATAGCTCCTCATCCCCCACTCACCTCTGTCTTATTCATGCCTACATCCCCAGTCTCTAGAATAAGCAACAGTAAGAGTCATACTCCTGCGTAATTCCAAACTGCCAAAGGATACATCCTTCCAGAATATTTTTTTTTTTTGAGACGGAGTCTTGCCCTGTTGCCCAAACTAGAGTGCAATGGCATGATCTGGGCTCACTGCAACCTCCATCTCCCAGGTTCAAGCGATTCTCCTGCCTCAGCCTCCTGAGTAGCTCGGATTACAGGTGCGTGCCACCACACCTGGCTAATTTTTTGTATCTTAATAGAGACGGGGTTTCACCATGTTAGCCAGGCTGGTCTTGAACTCCTGACCTCATGATCCGCCTGCCTGGGCCTCCCAAAATGCTGGGATTACAGGCGTGAGCCACCTCGGCTGGCCAAAGATTTTTTGAAGTTGCCTTCTAATATATAAGATATTTCTCCCATCATGGGACTGGATTGGGTTCTCAATAAAAACTCCCATTACTTTTGTTTGTTGTTTGTTTTCTTTTCTTTTTTTCACTGCATATGTGTAGGTCTAACCATTATTTTTTATTTTAGTATATAATAGTACAATATATTTAAAGAGGACAAGATTCTAGGAAATAATTTCATTTCTAAGAATTAGGACTTTTTCCTTACAGTGCTGTGTGGAAAATGAGGCAAAGATGGATTGACCATTTAAATCTCAATGTCACTAAACTTCCAGATTATTAAAATTGTAGTCAGCCCATAAAGATATCTGTGGTAGTAAATCTCCAGGATGTCCCCCAGTAATCCCCCTCTTGGTGTTCATGTCCTTACCCTTGAGTAATCCCTTTTCATTGAGTTTGGGCTGGACTTTGTGGTTTGTGACTCACTTCTTTTTTCTTTTTTCTTTTTGAGACTTTGTGACTCACTTTTTTGTTTTTTGTTTTTTTTTTGCTTTGTTGCCCAGCCTGGAGTGCAATGGCAAGATCTCGGCTCACTGCAACCTCCGCCTGCCGGGTTCAAGCAATTCTCCTGCCTCAGCCTCCCGATTAGCTGGGATTACAGGTGCCTGCCACCACGTCCATCTAATTTTTGTATTTTTAGTAGAGACGGGGTTTCACCATGTTGGTCAGGCTGGTCCCAAACTCCTGATCTCAAGTGATCCACCCGCCTAGGCCTCCTAAAGTGCTGGGATTACAGGAGTGAGCCACTGTGCCCAGCTATGACTCACTTCTAATGAATAGAATAAGGCAGAAGTTACAATGCGGGATGAATCAGGTCATGAAATGCAGAGTGGCATTTCAATCACTTGCTGTGGGGTAAGCCGCCCACCATATCAAGCAGCTCTGTAGAAAGACCCACATGGCAAGGAACTGAGGCCTCCTGCCCACAGCCAGGTGAGTGAGCTTGGAATAAGATCCTCTAGTCCCAGACAAGTCTTTAGAGACTGCAACCCCAGCCAATAGTTTCATGAAAAACCTCATGAGAGACCCTGAACCAGAATCACTCAACTAAGCCACTCCCAAATTCCTGACCCACAGAAACTGTGTAAGATGAAAAATATTTATTATTTAAGTCACTAAGTTTTGGGGTAATTTGTTATGCAGCAATAGATAAGGAGATAATAGAAAAGGATGTCAATATCGCTAAGATAACTCTACAGGTTCTTGTTTGTTTGTTTGTTTGTTTGTTTGAGACGGAGTCTTGCTCTGTCATCCAGGCTGGAGTGCAGTGGCGCAATCTAGGCTCACTGCAACCTCTGCCTCTGGGTTCAAGTGATTCTCCTGCCTCAGCCCCTCCAAGTAGCTGGGCCTACAGGTGCACACCACCACGCCCAGCTAATTTTTGTATTTTTAGTAGAGACAGGTTTTGCCATGTTGGCCAGGCTGGTCTTGAATTCCTGACCTCAGGTGATCCGCCCACCTCGGCCTCCCAAAATGCTGGGATTACAGGCATGAGCCACCTCGCCTGGCCGATAACTCTATAGCTTCTAAATATATTTACCTTCTATGGATGGGATCAGCCACTTGCAAAATAGAAAATCAATAAATGGGAATCTGAGAGAATATTTATTCTCTGGAAAGCGTGATTGAATCATCGCATAATCTGTGTTTTCCCAATCCTCATAGCTGATGCTGGACACCGAATTAGCTAATTGATTAATTGGTGGCTGCTTATTGAGACTTGTATTGCTTTCCATTTGCCTTATTTAGACAAAGTTTTAGTAGATTCACAAAGCTCTCTCTGGAGTGAAAAAGTTACTTGCCTGGTGGACCTATTTTAAACGTCTTCTTTGAAGTCTTCCCTGAGCATCTTCTGCCCCCATCCTCATCTTCACATCATCCATCAGAGTTTGAATCACTTTCTCGGTGCTTTCATGGCATTCTGAGACTACCTCTGCTATGGCACTTGTCACTGCATTGGCTGAGAACTTGCTACTTCCCTCATTAGGATGGAAGATTTTTGAAAGCAAAGGCTGCAATTTATTCATCTTTGGTCTTAGAACAGCCTCTGGTCCGTAGTATAAGTTCAACAAATATATCTAACATGAATGAATAAGAACATATTAATGAAGAAAGGAATGAATACATGAATAAATGAATTGACCATAGATGAAAGCTAAGTGGCCGGAGGAAAACCACTTCCCCCTCTGAATTTCTGTTCACCTATAAAATGAAAGGGGTGGACAAGATTGTTTCTAAGATCCCTTTTAACTCAGACCTTCTGTGATTTATGATTGGAGATGGGAGTAGAAGCCTATGCCCTTCTATGGCCTTCAAAAAGCAATACTAGGAAGAAAATAATAAAGATAAGAGTGGAAATCAGTGAAATAATAAACAGAACAACAGTAAAGAAAATCAATGAAAGCAAAGGCTGTTTCCATGAGAAGACCAATGAAATTGATAAACCTCTAGCTAGATTGATCAACAACAAAAGAGGAAAGACAAAAATACCAATATCAGGAATGAAGGGTGGGGGGCATATCACTTCAGATTCTACAGACATGAAAAGGATTAAAAAGGAGTATTATTAACAACTTTATAGAATAAATTTGGCAACTTAGATAAAATGGACAAATTACTTGAAACACACATATTACCAGAACTGGCCCAAGAAGAAATAGAAAATCTGAATAGCCTTCTATATATTAAAGACTTGAAGCAGTTATTTTTAAAAACTGGCAAAATTCTATCAAACACTTAAAGGTGAAATAATCCTAATCATACATTAATTATTTCAGAAAACAGAGAAAGAAGGAATATTTCCCAATTAATTTTTATGAATCCAGTATTACCCTGATACCACAACCAAAGATATTATAAGGAGGCCAGGTGTGGTGGCTCATGCCTGTAATCCCAGTGCTTTGGGAGGCCGAGGTGGGTGGATCACATGAGATCAGGAGTTCGAGACCAGCCTGGCCAACATGGTGAAATCCTGTCTCCACTAAAAAACACAAAAATTAGCCAGGTGTGCTTTGGGAGGCCGAGGCGGGCAGATCACCTGAGGCTGGGAGTTCAAGACCAGCCTGATCAACATGGAGAAACCCCATCTCTACTAAAAATACAAAATTAGCCGGGCGTGGTGGCACATGCCTGTAATCCCAGCTACTCGGAAGCAGAAGAATCACTTGAACCCAGGAGAAGGAGGTTGCAATGAGCTGAGATTGTGCCATTGCACTCCAGCCTGGGCAACAAGAGCAAAACTCCATCTCAAAAAAAAAAAAAAAAAAAAAATCAGCCAGGTGTGGTGGTGCACGCCTGTGATCCCAGCTACTTGGGAGACTGAGGCAGGAGAATTGCTTGAACCTGGGAGGCAGCGGTTGCAGTGAGCTGAGATTGCGCCACTACACTCCAGCCTGGGCAACAGAACAAGACTCCATCTCAAAAAAAAAAACCCGCGATACACAAACAAATAGTATATCAAGACCAAGTGGGGTGATCTAGAAATGTGGGGCATACAGCTAATAAAGGAAGAAATGTCTTTTTTTAATTAAAAAAACTTTTTTTTTTTCTTAAATAGAGATGGGGTTTCACTATGTTGCCCAGGCTGGTCTCAAACTCCTGGGCTCGAGCAATCCTCCCGCCTTGGTCTCCCAAATTGCTGGGATTACAGGTATGAGCCACCCCTCCTGGCCAAAACTATCTGTTTTTTTTTTTTTTTTTTTTGAGACAGTCTCTCTCTATCACCCAGGCTGGAGTGCAATGGCGCGATCTCGGCTCACTGCAACCTCCGCCTCCTGAGTTCAAGCGATTCTCCTGCCTCAGCCTCCCAAGTAGCTGGGACTACAGGCACACACCACCATGCCCAGCTAATTTTTGTATTTTTAGTAGAGGTGGGGTTTCGCTATGTTGGCCAGGCTGGTCTCAAACTCCTGACCTCAGGTGATCCGTTCACCTCGGCCTCCCAGAGTGCTGGGATTACAGGCGTGAGCCACCACGCCCAGTCCAAACCATCTTTATTCAGTTAATATGACACATATATAGAAAACCCTAAGCAATTAACAAAAGCAATAAACAAAACTGGTAGCACCAATAGGTGAACTGGGCAAAGTTGCAGAATGCAAGGCCAATATGCAAAAATCAGATGTATTTCTATATACTAGCAATAAACAATTGGAAAATGAAATGAGAAGGTGCCATTAGTACCAACAAACAAACATACAGGGTCCAGCCACCTGCAGCCCTGAACTGGAATAAGCAGATTGGAAAATGAATTAATGCACATAAATTATTATAAAATAAAAATTCATCCAGTCTATGATAATTATAAACATGCATGACAGTAAATGATGCAGTTCTTTTTTTTCTTTTTTTTTTTTTTGAGACGGAGTCTCTCTCTGTTTCCTAGGATGGAGTGCAGTGGCTCAGTCTCGGCTCACTGCAAGCTCCACCTCCTGGGTTCAGGCCATTCTCCTGCCTCAGCCTCCCGAGTAGCTGGGACTACAGGTGCCTGCCACCACGCCCGGCTAATTTTTTTCTATTTTTCAGTAGAGACGGGGTTTCACTGTGTTAGCCAGAATGATCTCGATCTCCTGACCTCGTGATCCGCCCGCCTTGGCCTCCCAAAGTGCTGGGATTATAGGCATGAGCCACTGCGCCCAGCCACATCTAATTTTTAAATGTCTTACTAATTTTTATTCTTACAAACATCATCATTATTATTATTATTTTGAGACCAAGTCTCACTCTGTCACCCATGCTGAAATGCAGTGGCACAATCTTAGCTCACTGAAACCTCCACCTGCCAGGTTCACACAATTCTCCTGCCTCAGCTACCCGAGTAGCTGGGATTACAGGCGCGCACCACCATGCCTGGCTAATGTTGTATTTCTGGCAGAGGTGGGGTTTCACCGTATTGGCCAGGCTGATTTCAAACTCCTGAACTCAAGTGATCTGCCTGCCTCAGCCTCCCAAAGTGCTGGGATTACAGGCATGAGCCACCGCACCCAGCCACATCTAATTTTTAAATGTCTTACTATTTTTTATTCTTACAAACATTATCATTATTATTATTATTTTGAGACCAAGTCTCACTCTGTCACCCATGCTGAAATGCAGTGGCACAATCTTAGCTCACTGAAACCTCCACCTGCCAGGTTCACACAATTCTCCTGCCTCAGCTACCCGAGTAGCTGGGATTACAGGCGCGCACCACCATGCCTGGCTAATTTTGTATTTTTGGCAGAGGTGGGGTTTCACCATATTGGCCAGGCTGATTTCAAACTCCTGACCTCAAGTGATCTGCCTGCCTCAGCCTCCCAAAGTGCTGGGATTACAGGCATGAGCCAATGCTCCCAGCCCTACAAACATTACTACTATTGTTATTATTAGAGACAGGGTCTCACTCTGTCGCCCAGGCTGGAGTGCAGTGCAGTGGTGTGATCATAGCTCACTGCAGCCTCGAACTCTTGGCCTCAAGCGATCCTGCTGTCTCAGCTTCCTGAATAGCTAGAACTACAGGTGCGCATTACCATATCCAGCTAATTTTTAATTTTTTTGTAGAGATGGGTTCTTGCTCAGGCTGGTCTTGAACTTCTGGCCTCAAGTGGTCCTCCCTGGCCTCCCAAAGTGCTGGGATTACAGGCATGAGCTACTACTCCTAGCCCTAATCTTTTTTAAATGTATGTAGAGCTCACATTTATTTCAATATTTAATATTAGAACTGTTGGTCAGGCGCAGTAGCTCACACAGAAACACCTTCACAGACACACCCAAACATAATGCTTTATCAGGTTTCTAGGTACCCTTAATCTAGTCAAGTTGACACCTAAAATTACCCATCAAATAGGAAGACTCAATATTGTGTTTCTTTTTCTTTTTTTTTGAGTTGGAGTTTCGCTCTTGTTGCCTAGGCTGGAGTGCAATGGCACGATCTCGGCTCACCACAACCTCTGCCTCCCACGTTCAAGCGATTCTCCTGCCTCAGCCTCCCTACTAGCTGCGATTACAGGCATGTGCCACCACGCCTGGCTAATTTTGTATTTTTAGTAGAGACGGGGTTTCTCCATGTTGGTCAGGCTGGTCTCGAACTCCCGACCTCAGGTGATCCTGAGGCCCACCTCGGCCTCCCAAAGTGCTGGGATTACAGGCGTGAGCCACCATGCCCGGCCGACTCAATATTGTTAAAATGTTAATTCTCCCAAAATTGATATATAGATTCAATACAATCCCAATAATAATTATCCAGTAATTTTTGCAGAAATTGACAAGCTAATTCTAAAATTTATGTGGAAACTCAAAGGGCCTAGGATATCCAAAACTATCTTGACAAAGAAGAGCAAAATAGGACTCATATCACCTGACTTCAAAACCTACTGTACAGCTACAGTAATCAAGTCAAGTATGGTATTGGCATAAGGGTGGACACACAGATCAATAAAGCAGAACAGAGTCCAGAAATAGATCCACACATGTTTTGTCAATTGATTTTTTTACAAATGTGCCAGGGTAGTTTAAAGAGGAAAGGATATCTTTTCAACAAATGATACTAGAACAACTATATAGTCTTAGGGGGAAAAAAATATACCTTGACCCCTTCCTCATAATACACACAAAAATAAACTAGAAAAGGATCACAGAGCTAAAAATATAAGCTAAAATGGTAAAATTCTAAAAGAAAACATAAAAGAAATTTTTTTCTGACTTTGGGGTAGGCGGTGGTTTCTTAGGACACCAAAAGCATTCACCATAAAGGAAACAATAAGCCTGACTCTGTTGAAATTTGAATCTTCTGCTCTTCACACTTTCAGAAAATGAAAAGAGGCCAGACATGGGGGCACGTGCCTATAGTCCTAGCTACTAGGGAGGTTGAGGTGGGAGGATTTCTTGAGCCCAGGGGTTGGAGGCTGCCGTGAGCTATGATTGTACCACTGCACTCCAGCCTGGGGGACAGAGTGAGAACTTGCCTCTAAAAAAAAAAACCAGGGAAGTCAGGACAGTCGTGTTGGCTCATGCCTGTAATCCCAGCACTTTGGGAGGTGGAGGCGGGTGGATTACCTGAGGTCAGGAGTTCAAGACCAGCCTGGCCAACATGGTGAAACCTGTCTCTACTAAAAATACAAAAATTAGCCAGGCATGGTAGCACATGCCTGTAATCCCAGCTACTCGGGAGGCTGAGGCAGAAGAATCGCCTGAACCCGGGAGGCGGAGGTGGCAATGAGTCGAGATCGTGCCATTGCACTCCAGCCTGGGCGATAGAGCGAGATTCTGTCTCAAAAAAAACAAAAAACAAAAAACAAAAACAAAAACAAAACAGGGAAGTCACAGGTCACAACCTGGGAGAAATATTTACAATGCATATGTCAGACAAAGAATTCATATCCAGAATATATAAAGAACACTTATAATTCAATAAAAAGAAGACAAGTAATCCAATTGTTTTGTTTTGTTTTGTTGAGACAGAATCTCGCTCTGTCACCGAGGCTGGAGTGCAGTGGTATGATCTTGGCTCATTGCAACCTCTGTCTCCCAGGTTCAAGCGATTTTCCTGTCTCAGCCTCCCGAGTAGCTGGGATTACAGGCGTGTGCCATCACGCCTGGCTAATTTTTGTATTTTTAGTGGAGGTGGAGATGGGGTTTCACCATGTTGGCCAGGCTGGTCAAAAACTCCTGATCTCAAGTGATCTGCCCGTCTCAGCTTCCTAAAGTGCTGGAATTACAGGCATGAACCACCGCACCCTGCCAACCCAATTGTTTTTAATGGACAAAAGATTTGAACAGTCATTTCACCAAAAAAGATATATGAATGACAAATAGGCACATTAAACATCATTAATTGCAAGGACAAAAAAACCAAACACTGCACGTTCTCACTCATAGGTGGGAATTGAACAATGAGAACACATGGACACAGGAAGGGGAACATCACACACCGGGGACTGTTGTGGGGTGGGGGGAGGGGGGAGGGATAGCATTAGGAGATATGCCTAATGCTAAATGACGAGTTAATGGGTGCAGCACACCAGCATGGCACATGTATACATATGTAACTAACCTGCACGTTGTGCACATGTACCCTAAAACTTGAAGTATAATAATAATAATAAAATAAAATTTAAAAACATCATTAATTATCAAGGAAATGCAAATTAAACCCACAATGAGACTTTACTACACTCCCAGTAGAATGATTAAAGGAAAAAAGATGGAGGCCAGGCACGGTGGCTAACGCCTGTAATTCCAGCACTTTGGGAGGCCAAGGCAGGAAGATCGCCTGAGCCCAGGAATTCGAGACAAGCCTGGGCAATGTAGAGAGACCCCATCTCTACAAAAACTTAAAAAATTAGCCAGCCTTGTTGACACGAGCCTGTGGTCTCAGCTTCTTGGGAGGCTGAGACAGGAGGATCGCTTGAGCCTGGAAGGTTGAGGTTGCAGTGAGCTATGGTCACACCACTGCACTCAAGCCTAGGTGACAGAGCAAGAGCCTGCCCCAAACTAACACAAGAACACTAAACCAAACACCGCATGTTCTCACTTACAAGTGGGAGCTGAACAATGAGAACACATGGACACAAGAAGAGGAACAACACACACCGAGGCCTGTTGGTGGATGGGGGGAGGGAGAGCATCAGGATAAATACCTAATGCATGCAGGGCTTAATACCTAGGCAATGGCCGAGCGTGGTGGCTCATGCCTGTAATCCCAGCACTTTGGGAGGCCCAGGCAGGTGGATCATGAGGTCAGGAGTTCCAGACCAGCCTGGCCAATATGGTGAAGCCTTGTCTATACTAAAAATACAAAACTTAGCTGGGTGTGGTGGCAGACGCCTGTAATCCCAGCTACTCGGGAGACTGAGGCAGGAGAATCATTTGAACCTGGGAGGTGGAGGTTGTGGTGAGCCGAGATCCATGCCACTGCACTCCAGCCTGGGTGACAGAGCAAGATTCTGTCTCGGAAAAAAAAAAAAACCTAGGTGATGGGTTGACAGGTGCAGCAAACCACCATGGCACAGGTTTACCTATGTAACAAACCTGCACAGCCTGCAGCTGTATCCCACAACTTAAAATTAAATTAAATTAAATTAAATTTTTTTCAAAAAAAGAGACTGCCTCAAAAAAAGAAAAGAAAAAAGATGGATAATACCAAAAGTGCACAAAGATGTAGAGCAACTGGAACTCTCATAAGTTGCTGGGGATGCCTGAAATGTTGCAGACACTTTGAAAAATAATTTGGCAATTTCTTTTTTTCTTTTCTATTTCTTTTTCTTTTTTCTCTTCTTTTTTTTTTTTTTTTTTTTTTTGAGACAGGTTCTTGCTCTGTCCCCCAGGCTAGAGTGCAGTGGCACGATCACGGATCAGTGTGGCCTTGACCTCCTGGGCTCAAGCGATCCTCCCACATCAGCCTCCCAAGTAGCTGGGACCACAGGTGCACACCCCCATGCCTGGCTAATTTTTTTTAATTTTTAAAAACTTTAGTAGAGACCAGGTCTCACTATGTTGCCCAGGCTGGTCTCAAACTCCTGAGATCAAGCAATTCTCCCACCTCAGCCTCCCAAAGTGCTGGGATTACAGGCATGAGCCACTGCACCTAGCCACAATTTCTTATAAAGTTAACATACACTTAGCACAAGATTCAACAATTCCCCTGCTGGATACATACCTAAAACAAATGTAAATATGTATCCACAAAGACTTGTTTTTTTTTGAGACAGGGTCTCGCTCTGTCACCTAGGCTGGAGTGCAGTGGCGCAATCTCAGCTCACTGCAACCTCTGCCTCCTGGGTTCAAGCAATTCTCTTTGCCTCAGCCTCTTGAGTAGCTGGGATTACAGGTGCCCGCCACCATGCCTGGCTAATTTTTGTATTTTTTAGTAACGACAAGGTTTCGCCATGTTGGCCAGCCTGGTCTTGAGCTTCTGACCTCAGGTGATCCGCCTGCCTTGGCCTCCCAAAGTGCTGGGATTACAAGCGTGAGCCACCGTGTCTGGCTGTATCCACAAAGACTTGTACACAAATGTTGAAGGAAGCTTTCTTCATCACAGCCCCAAACTGAAAACAATCAAAATGTCCACCAACAAGTGAATGAATAAACAAACTGTGGTATAGCTAGCTACACAGTAGAATCTACTCAACGATAAAAAGAAACAAACTACTGGTACATGCAACAACTGAGGAAAGCCACACACAAAAGAGCCCATATTCTATGTGTTCATTTATATGAAAATCTCAGATTTGCAAAACTATTCAATAGTGACAGAAACCAGATCAGTGGTTGCCTGGGGCCAGTAGCTGCAGAGAGACTGGCTGCAATGATGCAGGAGGGAACTTTTAGAGAAACGTTTTATATCTAGATTGTGGTGCTGTTTACATGGGTTTATATATTTGTCAAAACCCATCGAACTGTATACTTGAATCTGGTATATTTCGGCCAGGTGTGATGGCTCATATCTGTAATCCCAGTGCTTTGGGAGGCCAAGGAGGGAGGATTGCTTGAGGCCAGGAGTTCAAGACTAACCTGGGCAACATAGCGAGACCCCTTCATACAAAAGAAAGAAAGAAAGAAAGAAAATTAGCTGGGCATGGTGGCATATACCTGTGGTCCCAAGTACTCAGGGGGCTGAGGCAGGAGGATGGCTTGAGGCAAGGAAGTGAGGCTGCAGTGAGCTATAGTCATACCACTGCACTCCAGCCTTGCTGACAAAGTGAGATGCTATCTCCAATGAAATAAAATAAAAACGGTGCATTTTTATTTCATATTTTATTTTATATTTAACTCAATAAAGTTAATCTAAAAAGAAAGGAAGTGTTGCTGTGTCCTACACTGAGGGTTTGTAGTTTGAGGCTGTTTTTTGTGTCTCATCCTTTTATCCCTTCAGCATATTTCTTTTTTTCTTTTTCTTTTTTTTTTTTTGAGACAGAGTCTTGCTCTGTCACCCAGGCTGGAGTACAGTGGCACGATCTCGGCTCACTGCAAGCTCCACCTCCCGGGTTCACACCATTCTCCTGCCTCAGCTTCCCAAGTAGCTGGGACTACAGGTGCCCGCCACCACACCGGACTAATATTTTTGTATTTTTAGTAGAGACAGGGTTTCACCGTGTTAGCCAGGATGGTCTCAATCGCCTGACCTCGTGATCCGCCCACCTCGGCCTCCCAAAGTGCTGGGATTACAGGCATGAGCCACCGTGCCTGGCATTTTTTTTTTTTTTTTTGAGAATGAATCTCACTCTGCCACCTAGGCTGGAGTGCAATGGTGAGATCTCGGCTCACTACAACCTCTCCCTTCAGGGTTCAAGTGATTCTCCTGCCTCAGCCTCCCAAGTAGCTGGAATTACAGGTGTCTGCCACCATACCTGGCTAATTTTTGTATTTTTAGTAGAGACGGGGATTTCGCCATGTTGGCCAAGGCTGCTCTCGAACCCCTGACCTCAGGTGATCCACTCACCTTGGCCTCCCAAAGTGTTGGGATTATAGGCATGAGCCACTGCGCCTGGCCCTTCCACATACTTCTAACATCTTTTACTCCACAGCCATCTCATAGCAGGGGCTCCTTCCTCTGTGAAAGATCCTTTTTCCAGCATGTCCTCCCCAGTCCCCAGGTCCTCGGCCAGGACCTTTCTCCATCAGCCTCCACAATCCAGAGCTCCTGTATCCCCTCCCAGCGAGCTCTATGGATAAGCTGTCTGCGCTTCCCTGGGTGAGGGCTCAGGGCCAAAGCTGAGCAGACTTAGCAAATTGTGTTTAGCTGATGCAGAGTTGGCCTTCAACTAAATACATCATCAGCCTCACCAGCTCTTGCTGGGTCTTGGCAAGAGCGAGAGACTACACGCAGAGTCTCTGGCACCCTTGCCTTCCTACCTTAACACTTCTCATCTTGTGGAGCACCAGGGCCAGCTTTTCCCTGGCCTGTGCATGAGGTTGCACAAATCTGGCCTAGGCCTCTTGGTCTCTACCCTACCCCGAATCCCATCCTTTTTTCAGATCCTAGCTCACTCACACCCAAGTTCTCTCCCTCCCCTAAGGCATCATTCCATCTAAGGAATTCCAAGTAGAGACATTGAAAACAAAGAAATCCAGGTTGGTGGTGATTCTGGCATAGGCCTCCTGATAACCCACTTTGAGGGGGGACCCAGCTGAATGCCTATTAGAATCCCTTGAGAAAGAAAACCCTGGGCTGCCAGAATTTCTCCTCCACCAAGTGAGGGACTCTTTGCGAAGCTCGATGACCTCATTGCTCACATTACTGATGGGCCTACCCTTGCTGCCACTGAGCCCCTCCCTGGGGATATAATGCATGAATACTTTGGGGTATGGGGAGCAATCCTAGCCAAACAGAGAGAAAGAAGTGCCAGGAAGGCCGGGGGGCTTGATTAGGGCCCCAGGCCCGCATTTGTTTCTAGAGTCTTCTTTGCATCCCTGTTCCAGGGAAAGACTGAGGCATGGAATTCACATGCACAGCAAAGGCCACAGGACTCCTGGCCACGGACTGTGGGGATCTGGACAGTAGCATCCTTAGGGGAGCTATAGCTCTTTGCCCTGGCTTCTTGACCTCCCACTTTTGGAAGGCAAAGAGGATGCAACTACCCTGGTCATGGGAATGGCTGGACCCCTCAGACTTGGAGACAATGGCTTGGCCAGAGCACGTGGGCGAGCCCAGGAGGCTGGCTCGGGTCTGCGGCTTCCTGGGAGGAAGTGAGGCATTGTTTCTTGGGCTGTGTGGGCCCGCTGGAACTCCAGCACAATGCAGGGAGTGGTGGGTGCCAGGTCTAGCCCACCGACAATTGGGAACTTGTTTATTGCTTTAATGACCCTATGGTGGATCCACCTGGAAATAGACCTGCTAATGAGCAGAGACAGAGCTGGCACAGCCCCAAGGGAAGCCTGTCGGGCCAGCTACCCTGGAGGCGCTATGGGTGTGTGGTCTGAGACTAGGAGAGCTGGGAAGTGGAGACCTGGGTTCTGTCTGGGAAAACCACACGGAGATCTCATGCTTCTCCACTGCTATCCACCTCTTGTTGTGGGTTACACGAAGGTGAAGTGGGGGAAGTGGCGTGGGGCTGAGAATTCAAGGCATAGTTGGTCTCCCCATTCCAGCCTTTGCTCCCAACTGCTGGTGGCCTTGGACAAGCTGTCTACACTTTCTGGGCCTTATGTCCTCATCTTTCAGGAAGGGATACCAACATCATTCCTGCTGTCTCCCCACTTCCCCAGGGTGTTGGGAGGATAAGGTAAGATCAGACACAGTAACTGCTTTGAACTCCTTGGAAGAAAAAAACCCTTTTAGACATCAAGGCTTTACAATGTTTGCTTCTTTCCCCTGTGGCTGGAGCCTGGGAGCTTGGAGAGGGATGGAGTGTCTGGGACTTGGTTTTCCTAGACTGTTCATCAGACACCTGCCAGGGACTGAGACGAAATTAAAACTTCCCCTGCATCAAGGACATCTGAGAGCCAAGAGTGGGCACCTGGGAGGGGGCAATAATGTGTTGGAGCCAGCCCATGCCAGCTCACAGGAGCTCAGGAATGTTAAATCCACTGGTAGCTTGCAATTGGTTATTGTAGGAGTTTTTATTTCATAGATATCAGCAAACTCTACAAATCAAGGCTTTCTTTATTTCCTTCCTTCCTTCTTTCCTTCCTTCCTTCCTCCTTCCTTCCTCCTTCCTTCCTTTCTCCCTCCTTCCTTCCTTCTTCATTCATTCCTTTCTCCCTCCCTCCCTTCCTTCCTTCTTCCTTCCTTCCTTCCTTCCTTCCTTCCTTCCTTCCTTCTCTCTCTCTCTTTCCTTCTTTCTTTCTCTCTCTCTCTCTCTCTTTCTCTTGAGAGCTGGGACAGGACGTGTAGAAGACTGTGACCCCCATCACACTCCCTACCCAGGTCTCACCAAGCAGTCCCAACCAGGTGTGGCTTATTTGCCCTTTGAACACAGACCCCAGGAGACTGGAGGCCTCAGCAGTTGAGAAAATGGTCTCACTCCACGCAGTAGTGGGACAGGAGTGGCCGTGAGATAGGTGGAGGGTGCTGGAATCCAGTCCTAGGAAGAATTTGTCTCTGCTGTACCATACTGAGTTCTGAAGGTCAGGAAGCCAAACCGAAGCTCCAGTCAGGTGCTGAGTGTTTCTTTGCCCTGGTTCAAACACAGCAGTGAGTGGAGGGTCTGGGGTTGGAGGATGAAGGGAATGGGGTGAGACCACGAGGTGAACATATCGGGCATCTATATGGACACTCTCATAGGAGCATAACTCAGAGATCCTAGGAAGTATTTAAGGAACTGCTTGCTTGCTTGTGTTTTGGGGGTTTGTTTTTAATCCAAGAAGTTTCTTTACAGGCTGAAAAGAGGTGACCATCATTGGTTCTGCTGAAGGCCTCTGGCATGGCAGGCCGGGGGGTGGGGGTGGGGAGCTGACATTGTGAAGCAGAAGGAGGAAGCGGCCAGTGACCTGGGATAGGTCAAGGGGACAGCTGTGGGACCGGAAGCCAGGATACTCCGGTTCTAGTTCTGGCTGTGCCAGGCGATGCAGGACAAATCGCTCCCTCTCCCTGGGTCTGCATGCTCTCAGCTGTACTCTGCAATCATCTGCAGGTGATCTCTAGGGGCCCTGGCAGCATCGAAGTTCTCCGACAGTTTATCTTCAATGCTCTTTGGTTTCTCTCATCAATGCCCCTACACCCATGGGTTGGCACCTAAGGGCTTGAGGTCTTGTTATTGACTGAAAGTTTGTGTCTCCACCCCCTAAATTCATGTGTTGAAACTTCGATCCCCAGTGTGATGGTATTAGGAGATGGGGCCTTTGGGAGGTGATTAGGTTTAGATGAGGTCATGAGGGAGAGCCTCTAGGATTGGATTAGTGTTCTTATAACAAAAGCCAGAGGCTGAGTGTGGTGGCTCACACCTGTAATCTAAGCATTTTGGGAGGCCGAGGTGGGCAGATCACCTGAGGTCAAGAGTTTGAGACCAGCCTGGCCAACATGGTGAAACCCCCTCTCTACAAAAGTATAAAAATTAGCTGGGGATGATGGCGGGTGCCTGTAATCCCAGTCACTCAGGAGGCTGAGGCAGAAGAGTCACTTGAACCTGGGAGGTGGAGGTTGTAGTGAGCTGGGATTGTGCCATTGTACTCCAGCCTGGGTGAGAGAGCGAGACTCTGTCTCAAAAAAAATAAACAAATAAAAGAAGAGCCAGAGACTAGAGCCCTTTCTCCCTCTCTCCTCCATGATGTGAGGACACAGCAAGGAGGCACAGCTTCTATCTGCAAGCCAGGAAGTAGGCCCTCACCAGAAACCAAATCTACTGGCTCCTTCATCTTGGACTTCCCAGCCTCCAGAGCTGCGAGGAATAAATGTCTGCTGTTTAAGGCACCTAGTCTATGGTATTATTTTTGACAGTTGTGCTTCCCCCCTCCTAGGAGATTTCTACATGCGGCATAGCCCGTCTTTCACAGTTAAAGACATTGCTCTGGAGCTCAGGCAGTCCTGGTCTCAAATCTTGGCCCTTGCCTCTTGCTAGCTGTGTAACCTAGGGTAATATAGTTTGGCTGTGTCCCCACCCGAATCTCAAACTGTAGTTCCCATAGTTCTCACGTGTCATGGGAAGGACCCAATGGGAGGTAATTGAATCATGGGGATGGGTTTTTCCTGTGCTGTTCTCATGATAGTGAATAAATCTCTCACAAGATCTGATGGTTTCCTAAAGGGGAGTTCCCCTGCACATGCTCTGTCTTGCCTGCCACCCTATAAGATGTGCCTTTGTCCTCTTTCAACTTCCACCATGATTGTGAAGCTTCCCCAGCCATGTGGAACTGTGAGTCTATTAAACTTCTTTTTCTTTATAAATTACCCAGTCTTGGGTATTAGCAGCATGAGAACAGAATAATACATAGGGCATATTCACTTCTCTGTTCCTACTGCCTCACCTGAAAAATAAGAGTGGTCAGAGTGCCCACTACCCAGGGTTCCTGGAGGACCAAGTGAGATAATTGGTGTAAATCCTTGGCACAGATCTGGGACACAGCAGGTGAGCAGCCGTGTTGGCCATGGTTAGTCCGTCATTCTGAGGACGGCACCGCTCTGCTTTCTAGAGCAAGGTGGCGTGGCAGTCCCAGGAAGGACCTGCTGCCTAAGAGAGGTGGGAGACCTGGAATCCCCTCACCAGGGGAGGCTGTGTGTCTCCAGACAGTCCTACTAGGGGATTTCAACCCAGCAAGTGAAAGTCACAGCCCCCCAGAGGAGACCCCCATTTTGTCACAGTTAAACTGCATAACTGATCTAAGGGGGAGAGTCAGGGAACTCGGGTTCTGACTCGGACTTGGCAAGTCCCTTAGCTGTGCTCGTTCTTACTTCTCTTGTTTATGAAATCGGGCTCATCTCTGCCCTGCCTCATAGACCAGGACAAATGAGGTCATGCTGACAAGCAACATGAAATCAGTAAAAAATGTTTTAAAGGACTCTACAAAAATAAAACGAATTATTATCACAAATCATAATAGAATTAATCTACATGGCCCAGGGCAGCCCTTGGAGATTTATCTGTGGGTAGTAGAACTTCTTCTCTTTCCCGTTCTTTTTCAGGGAGGTTTTTTCCAGCAGGCCCCTCTGCACCTTGGGGACAGAGTGGAGCTGAATGTCCCATGTAACTCACAGTCCTGTCTTCCACCTCCCACTCATCCCTCCACTGGGAAATCTCAATGTATTTTTAGGGAACCTCATTCCTCCCGCCCCTGTTTCCTTTCCAGGGCATGCCTGGGAAAGTTCTTAGGAACTCGTGAACCGAGGCTGCTGTTAAGGACGCTGTCTTTGGCCTGGGCTTTGGTCCCTGGCCCAGGTCCCCAGGAGGGCTGAGATGCCCCGTGGCAGTGAAGAGAAGAGTGAGAAAAATCCATGTGACGTGTCAGGGAGGGGCAGCTGCCAGAGGCCCCCAAGGAGGGAGAATGAGTAAACAGCCCAGCCACCACCCCCAGTCCCCCTGTTCCACTTGGGTGCAGGCGGTTCAGCTTCAGAAAGCTGGGGGTGGGGCAGGCGGGTGACACATGCTCCTCTGGGAGTGGGATAAATAATCTTCAGCTGCAACAATAAAGATCAATTATGACCTAATCACTCCGCCCGATTCCAAAAGCCCAGGGGGTGGGCCTCGCCCTTCCTCTCCCTCCAGGTTTAATTATCTGAAGAGTCTTGGACTTTCATTTCTTGTTTTTTGCTTGTTTGCTTGTTTGTTTGCACCTGGTTGATGTATAAGTCTTGGACTTTGGGAGACCCAAAAGAGAAGGAAGGTCTGCAAATAATTAAGCCAGGGGATGGCCTTCAGGACAGGATTGTCTGTGGGCATGGGGTGGGGGTAGAGGATATGGCAGGTTCCCCCTTGGTACATCTGTGTGGGTTGGGTATGGGGTGAGGGCAGAGAACCAGAGCAGGGGAGAGAAGGCAGCTGAAACAGACAAGTGCTTCAGGCACAGGAAGAAAATGGAGTGAGACCCGAGAGGCCTAATTCACTGACCAGTAAGGCAAGGAACATGGGAATCCCTTGTACCCAGAGTTCTCCACAGTGCTCATGGTACATTTATTACAGATGTTGTATTTTTAAATATTTACATATTTATTTATTTATTATTTCGAGATGGAATCTTGCTCTGTTGCCCAGGCTGGAGTGCAGTGCCACGATCTTGGCTCACTGCAACCTCCACCTCCCAGGTTAAAGAGAGTCTTTTGCCTCAGCCTCCCGAGTAGCTGGGACTACAGGTGCCCGCCACCACACCTGGCTAATTTTTGTATTTTTAGTAGAGACGGGGTTTCACCATATTGGCCAGGCTGGTCTCGAACTCCTGACCTCGTGATCCGCTGGCCTCGGCCTCCCAAGGTGCTGGGATTACAGGTGTAAGCCACCATGCCTGCCCTAAATATTTATTTATAAAGATTTAATATAAATATAAATATAAATATTTAATATTTGTAATGTTACAAATATTACAGGTGTTGGCAATATCCTTGAAGAGACTAAAAGAACTCAGAACAACACTGAACAAGCCAGCAGAGCCATCAACTCACCCCTACAGTCTCCATACACAGACTCCATGAAAGCATTGGCCATCAGCTCTCACTGGTGTGGATATGTCACCAGTGGGGTAGAGTTGTTCCTCTCTCTGACACTGTATTAGTCCATTCTCACACTGCTATTAAAAAACAAACAAACAAACTTGAGATTGGGGTAATTTATGAAGAAGAGAGGTTTATTTATTTATTTATTTATTTTGAGACAGAGTCTCACTTTGTCGCCAGGCTAGAGTGCTGTGGCGCGATCTCAGCTCACTGCAACCTCCAACTCCCTGGTTCAAGGGATTCTCCTGCCTCCGCCTCCCAGGTAGCTGGGATTACAGGCGCGTGCCACCACGCCCAGCTAATTTTTGTATTTTTAGTAGAGATGGGGTTTCACTATGTTGGCCAGGATGGTCTCGATCTCCTGACCTCGTGATCTGCCCGCCTTGGCCTCCCAAAGTGCTGGGATTACAGGCGTGAGCCACCGCGCCCGGCCAAAGAAGAGAGGTTTAATTGGCTCATGATTCTGCAGGCTGTATAGGAAGCATCATGGCTTCTGCTTCTGGGGAGGCCTCAGAATGTTTCCAATAGTGGCGGAAGCCAAAGTGGGAGCAAGGAGCTCCACATGGCCACAGCAGGAGGAAGAGAGAGAGCAGGGAGGTGCCACACACTTTCAAACAACCAGATCTCAAGAGAACTTACTATGGTGATGACGGTACCAGGAGGATGATGTTAAACCATGAGAAACCACTCCCATGATCCAATCGCCACCCACCAGGCCCCACCTCCAGCACTGGGGATTACATTTCAATATGAGATTTGAGCAAGGACACACATCCAGTTCATATCAGACACCATCCTTGGCCAAGTTGAGCCTGTTCAGCAATGCCTCTTGCCTCTACCCAACGGCAAGTGGTGCCCACTGTGTGTCATCTCACACAACTTGCCCATGTCCCCCTTCTGTGCAAAAGAAATCACTGAAATATACGTGTATCCACAGCAGTGGCAAAGATCAATTTGACACAATGATCAAAACCTGTAAAGGATTCATGGCACACAGGTTAAAAACTCCTGCTCAGTTTGGCAGGGCCCACTGGTTTCCCTAAAGGAGTTTTGTGGTCGCAATTCATTTGCCTGGGATGTCTTCCCTGGTCTTTGTCTTCAGATAGAGGTAGCTAGAAGGTCCCTAATGGGATTTCCACATCTCCTCCACCATGTTTGCCCCTACATTCCTAAGCAACCCCTTTAGAATCATGGCCTATTAGAGCCAGAAGGAATAGTAGAGGTGACAGAATCCATTTTACAGATGAGGAAACTGAGGCATGGGGCAGGGAAGTGGCCTTCTGTCTTCTAGTTCGGTGCTCTTTTCTTACCCAAAACTGGCTCTCCTGACTCCCATCTGCTTTCTTTCTTTTTTCTTTTCTTTTTCTTTTCCTTTTTTTTTTTTTTGAGACAGAGTTTCCACTCTTACTGCCCAGGCTGCAGTGCAATGGCACAGTCTCGGCTCACTGTAGCCTCTGCCTCCCAGGCTCAAGCAATTCTCCTGCTTCAGCCTACCAAGTAGCTGGAATCACAGGCATGCAACACCACACCTGGCTAATTTTGTATTTTTAGTAGAGACAGGGTTTCACCATGTTGGCCAGGCTGGTCTCGAACTCTTGACCTCAGGTGATCCACCTGCCTGCCTAGTCCTTCCAAAGTGCTGGGATTACAGGCATGAGCCACTGTGTCCAGCCTCTCATTTGCTTTCTTTCTTTTCTTTTCTTCTTTTTTATTTTTTTCGTTGAGACAGTGTTTCACTCTTGTTGCCCAGGCTGGAGTACAATGGTGCGATCTCAGCTCACCGCAACCTCCACCTCCTGGGTTCAAGAGATTCTCCTGCCTCAGCCTCCTGAGTAGCTGGAATTACAGACATCCACCACCATGCCTGGCTAATTTTTTAAATTTTTAGTAGAGATGGGGTTTCACCATATTGGCCAAGCTGGTCTCAAACTCTTGACCTCAGGTGATCCACCTGCCTCAGCCTCCCAAAGTGCTGGGATTACAGGCGTGAGCCACTGCGCCCGGCCCATTTGCTTTCTAAATTATTTTCCACATTGGTTTTTGCTAGTTAGGTATATCTTTATTAGTGATAGTTTTACATTTTCTCCCATATCACATGGTTTTTTAAGACAATGAGGGAGGCTCACCTTGGATTAAACTGTATCCCCAGGCAGCCCACAGGGAAGACAGAACACAGGTTGCCTGTGAGCCTGAGGCCCATCCCCCACCCTAGCATTGAGGCTGCACTATGTTTTAAAATTACCTGGGTATATTTATATATTAGTGTTCTTTTCTATTTTAAAAATGCTTTCCCATTGTGCTTGGCTCACCAGGGCAGTGCTGTTCTCCTGGTTGTGCCGATAGGCTTTTCAATCAAAAACAAGAAAAAAACCCACACATTTCTATTTCTTTATATATCTCCGCTTTTTCTGGAAAATAAATATTTGTTGAATTGAATTGGGAAAATTTTTTAGAAAAATGTTTTTGTACCTTGTGTGTTCTGCTGTTATTGTTGTTAAATAAGTGCTTTCAGTGACAGGGCTTTTGTTCTGGAAAGGGGGTTTTTTGTGTTGGGGAGGGGAGATATTCTACATCCAGGAGGCTATGTCAGGCGTTTTGGAGTGGGAGTCAATGCCTGCAAGCCAGCAGTGGCCACTGTCTTCTCATCTTTCTCTCTTCTCTCTTTTTTCTCTCCCACCAGGTTTCTGCCCCAAATTCACACACTCCCTCCTATCACCAAAGCCACCCGCCACCGCTGGCCTCCTGCATGCTGTGGGAGGAGAGGAGGGCAGACAACGTTGCCTCCCCTGACTCCCATCGCGCGGGCTTGTGAGTCCATGGAGCGCAGTTGTCCAGGGAACTATCCGATGCAGCATGAGAGGAAGGTGATGCAGCGGCATCCCACCTTGAGATGAGAGAAAGCTGTTCTGGGCTTCCAGTGATTGGCAGCTGAGGTCACTCCTTTGCCCATACCCCCGCCCCGAGACTGTTTCCAGTGCCCCAAGTTCACCTCAAGGATCATTGCACAGCAGAAGTGAGTTTTACTTAGGTTGAGACACTCACATATAGGGAATGCAGAATAAATCCCATCCCTTCCTCAGCCAGCAGGGGCAAGGCCCTGAGAAGGAGAACATCGTGTAGGTACAGGCCAACCCCAGGGGCCTCTCACAGGGCCCTCCTCATCATCACTCACCTCTCTATTCAGCAAACACTCAGTGAGACAACCATGGACCCTAGGGATGCAACAGTGAAGGAGACGCAGCCTTTCAACACCTGGCAGGGCAGAGACACTTCAACAGTCATTGCCAGCCCCAGTGGACAGTAAGTGTGATGGCAGGGAAGCCCAGCATGCGACACTTGCACTTAGGAGGGACAGATGACAGGTGGCTGACCTTTCTTGCTTGCTTGCTTGCTTGCTTTTTTTCTTTTTCTTTTTTCTTTCTTTTTTTTTTTTTGAGACAGAGTCTTGCTCTGTCACCCAGGCTGGAGTGCAACGGCACAATCACGGCTCACTGCAACCTCTACCTCCCGGATTCAAGTGATTCTCCTGCCTCAACCTCCTGAGTAGCTGGGATTACAGGTGTGCGCTACCACGCCTGGCTAATTTCTGTATTTTTAGTAGAGACGGGGTTTCACCATGTTGGTCAGGCTGGTCTCAAACTCCTGACCTCGTGATCCACTGGCCTCGAACTTCCAAAGTGCCGGGATTACAGGTATGAGCCACCGTGCCCGGCCAGCTGACCTTTCTTAAAAGATGCGTAGGTGTTGTTGGGTGCAGTGGCTCACACCTGTAATCCCAACACTTTCTGGTAGGCTGAGGTGGGCAGATCGCTTGAGCCCAGGAGTTTGAGACCAGCCTGGGCAACATGATGAAACCCTGTATCCACAAAAAATACAAAAATTAGCCAGGCAGGGTGGCACAAACATGTGGTCCCAGCTACTAGGGAGGCTGATGTGGGAGGATTGCTTGAGACTGGGAGGTCAAGGCTGTAGTGAGCTGTGGTCGCACCACTGCACTCCAGCCTGGGCGACAGAGCAAGGCCCTGTAAAAAAAAAAAAATTAATTAATTAATTAAAAAAAAAAGATATGTAGGTCTCAATCATCTCAACAACTGAAGAAGAGAAGGAGAAAAGGGATTCTAGGAGAAGGAACAATGTGTGAGACAGAATGACTGAAAAGCAACTTCAAGTCCTGCAGAGTATGACAGGAAGCATGGGTGGCGGGGAAGCAAAGGCAGAAAATGAGAGCCATTGGGCTCATCTATTTATGCCAAGCACTGTTCTGTGTGCTGAGGGCACCATGCTGAGCAAGAGGGTGCTCCCTGCTCTCATGGAACCTCCATTCTAGTGGGGGAGACAGTAAAAACCAACCAAGCAACCTAACAGAGTCGTAAATGCCGTGCAGAAGATGACTGCGGAAAGGCGGGGCGCGGCAGCTGGAAGAATCTTTCTTTCTTTTTTTTTTTTTTGAGACGGAGTCTCGCTCTGTCGCCCAGGCCGGAGTGCAGTGGCGCGATCTCGGCTCACTGCAAGCTCTGCCTCCCGGGTTCACGCCATTCTCCTGCCTCAGCCTCCCGAGTAGCTGGGACTACAGGCGCCCGCCACCACGCCTGGCTAATTTTTTGTATTTTTTAGTAGAGACGGGGTTTCACCATGTTAGCCAGGATGGTCTCGATCTCCTGACTTCGTGATTCGCCCTCCTCGGCCTCCCAAAATGCTGGGATTACAGGCGTGAGCCACCAAGCCCGGCCTGCTGCTGGAAGAATCCTTCTAGAAAGAGTTGAGTGATAAGAGTCGGCCATGTGAAAATCAGGCATCCCAGGCAGAGGACACAGCTATCAAAAATGTGCCAGGTGACACAGCTGTTTAAGAATTTTTTTTTTTTTTAAGAATTTTTTTTTTTGGCCAGGCACGGTGGCTCACGCCTGTAATCCCAGCACTTTGGGAGGGAGGCCGAGGCGGGCAGATCACAAGGTCAGGAGATCCAGACCATCCTGGCTAACACGGTGAAACCCCGTCTCTACTAAAAATACAAAAATTAGCCAGGCGTGGCGGCGTGTGCCTGTAGTCCCAGCTGCTGGGGAGGCTGAGACAGGAGAATGGTGTGAACCCAGGAGGCGGCGCTTGCAGTGAGCTGAGATCGTGCCACTGCACTCCAGCCTGGGCAACAGAGTGAGACTCCGTCTCAAAAAAAAAAAAAAAAAAAAAAAAAAAGAATATATATATTTTTAATTGAGACCGAGTCTCACTCTGTCACTCAGGCTGGAGTGCAGTGGTGCGATCTCAGCTCACTGCAACCTCCACCCCCTGGGTTCAAGCAATTCTCCTGCCTCAGCCTCCTGAGTAGCTGGAATTAGAGGTGCACACCATCATGCCTGGCTAATTTTTGCATTTTTAGTAGAGACAGGGTTTCACCATGTTGGCCAGGCTGGTCTTGAACTCTTGACCTCAAGTGATCCACCTACCTCGGCCTCCCAAAGTGCCGGGATTACACGTGTGAGCCACCATGCCTGTCCTGTTTAAGGACATTTTTATGGGGAACTGCTTTAAAAGACTGCCCCCCTGCGAAACTCTCACCTCTCTAGTCTCTTGAAAGAGTTATTGCTGCATAACAAATTACCCCAAAACTTAGTAACATACGCCGGCATGGTGGCAGCATGGTGAGACCCTATCTCAACTAAAAATACAAAAATTAGCTGGGCATGGTGGTGCACACCTGTAGTCCTAGCTACTCAGGAGGTTGAGGCATGAGAATCACTTGAACCTGGAAGGTGGAGGTTGCCCTGAACTGAGATTGTGCCACTGCACTGCAGCCTGGGTGACAAAGCGAGACCTTGTCTCAATAAAAAAAAGAAGGAAGGAAGGAAGGAAAGAAAGAAAGAAAGAAAGAAAGAAAGAAAGAAAGAAAGAAAGAAAGAAAGAAAGGAAAGGAAAAGGGCATTGCAGATGTGATTAAATTAATAAATCTTGGATTAGCAGGTGTGCGCGATGTCATTACAAGAGAATTTTTTTTTTTTTTTTTTTTTTTTTTTAGACAGAGGCTGGCTCTGTCACCCAGGCTAGAGTGGTGCAGTGGCGCGATCTCGGCTCACTGCAAACTCTGCCTCTCGGGTTCAAGCAATTCTCCTGCCTCAGGCTCCCAAGTAGCTGGGATTACAGGCATGAGCCACCACGCCCAGCTAATTTTTGTATTTTTAGTAGAAACGGGGTTTTGCCATTTTGGCCAGGCTGGTCTCAAACTCCTGACCTCAGGCGATCCACCTGCCTGAGCCTCCCAAAGTGCTGGGATTACAGGCATGAGCCACTGTGCCCGGCCCAGCCACAAGAGGCCTTATAAGTAAAAAGAGGGAGGCAAGAGCATCAGAGAAAGAGATGTGTTGATGGGTGCAGAGGTTGGTGTGATGTGATTGCTGGCTTTGCAGATGTAAGGAGGCCACCAGCCAAGAAATGCTGTCAGTGCCTGGAAGCTGGAAAGGCAATGAAATGGATTTTCCCCAGAACCTCCAGGGAGAATATGGCACAGCTTCTACCTTGATTTTCACCCAGTGAGACACATTTTGGATTTCTGACCTAAAGAATTGTAAGGTAAATCTGTGATCTTATAAACCACTAGGTTTGTGGCAATTTGTTATAGCAGCAACAGGAAATTATTATGGGGGTATTGGTGCCATTAAGGTATGCAGGGGTAGAAGCAGATTTGGGGACAGGAAACACTTATGTTTTAGGCATGATAAGTTTATGGAGCCCAGGTGCAGTTGTGCAATAGCTGAATATCTGAGGCTGGAACTCAGGAGGAAAGTCTGGCTGGCAGAGGATGCTCAGGAACTAACAGGGTTTTAGGAGAAATGGAAACCGTAAAAATGAATGAAGGATGAGACTGAGCTGAAATGGAGGATGGCAGAGGAGCCCTTGAAGGAGAGAGAGAACAATTATCCCAGATTAACTACTTCATCTCCTAACAAAGGCAGTAAAGTGATAGCATAGTGAAGACTTTAGTTTCATTCTACTGATTCTCTGGGGTCTGTTTTTTATTTTGCAGGCTGCCTGGATCCCCAGAGTTTGTCTGGAAAGCCTCTTGAGATGGGGTTATGTGCTCCGAGGATCCCAGGAGGAAGGATGGGGCAAGAGCAGACAAACCTATGCCTCTACAGCAGCTGTACCGTTGTCCTGGGAGTGAGCCCCAGCCGTGGCTCAAGGCACACGTGCCTCCAGAGGACAATCTGGGATGCTCAGGGGACAGAGAGGCAGAGGGACTATCAGGGTGAAGCTGTCTTTTTCACTTGTTTGGCACTCAGCCCAGGGCCTGGATTTATCCTGCACAAAATGAACAGTGCAGGGCCCTTCATCTGGGGAAAGCCTAACAGTGGCACCCAAGCAGAGCTAGGAGGTCCAGGTCCTCCAGTGGCAGGGAGGGAGGGAGCTCCTTTCCAGGTACTTTCTTTCCTAGATAGAGGATCTTGGTGACTCATCTCCCAGTTCAACTGTAAAGGCTAAGGGCCTCCTTGAAGTTTCCTTCCTTATGAAAATGTCCATAGCAAGTTTGTCACTTAGGAATGTTTTTCAATGATAGGAAACAGAAAAGCCAACTAGTAGGAGATGAAATAAGTTGAGATTTTTTTTTTTAATAGCAAGAAGTCTGGATATTGTCAGTAGCCGGCATTGGTTTAGGACACAATAATATTGGGGATGATGTCCTGTATTTTTCTTGGCCTTTTTCTTACAGTCACAATGTGGATGCCATGGCTCAAGGTATCACATCCCTATTCAAGGCAGGATATAGGAGGAAGGGATGGTGCCAGATACATCTGTCCCATTTATTAAAAAGCAAGCTTCTCCAAAACCCAAGCAGGTTTCTGCCTATCTCTCACTGCCAGGACACTGTCAAATGTTCCCTACAGCTACAGAAGATGAGAAAAGAAGATACTCATTTTTCCAGCCTCTAGAGTGGAGACTGGTAAGGGAAAGGAGGTTCAGAATGGGTGTGGGGTAAGCCAGTCTATTGTTAGATAAATGCTTGTTGACCCAAATTGCTTCCCCTTAAAAAAGACAGGTTGTTCCATGTGAAGGCATCCGGGGTATAAAGGATCTCTCACCCATGTCAGAGACCCCTCACCCACCACACCTGGGCAGCCCCTGATGGTCTACCCAGGCACCTGCTGCCATGGACTATGGCCACTAACATCTCTCTCTCTCTCTCTCTCTCTCTCTCTCTCTCTCTTTCTGGGAGGTTTGTCCCACAGAAAGCCACATCATTGAGGAAGCAGAAGGAAAAGAGAAAGTCTGTCTTAACTTCCAAGTAATAAAATTCAGGGCTGTTTTCTGTGGCCAAAGTTAACTGTTCAATTAACTCAGAGAGGAAACGTCAAACCAGTTATCTGGGATACTGACTAGCTCTCACCTTTCCACCAGCTGCCTGGACTTGAAGAGCCAGCTGGCACTCAGGTCCTGGGTATGTGGGGGCCTCCTTCCAGCCAGCTTTCCTCCTCACCCTCTCACCTCATTTCTGCTGCTTCTTCCACCTGGTCCCACCTGATCTCCACATCTGTTTACCCTTAGCTTGGGCTGCCTCCCATCCGTCCTCTCTCACCTGCAGATGGAGTATCTCTGAAGCTGACTATGCAACCAACACCTCCCTCCCTCCCTGCCCCTCCTTGGACTCTCCACCCAGCAGCAGTGGGCTGGCAGGAACACCCACCTTCCTAACCACAGGCCCCTGCCGGGCGCACACACAGTACTTGGATTCCCCGGAGCAACGCGATGCTGTTAGATGTGGTGGGAGGGTCAGGATCTGGGAGAAATTCTGAGGGACTCACAGGCATGACTCACATTTGGCATTTGGTGGGTGTCTGCCCACTTGAACATGAAGACAGGCACCTGCCCACCTTCAAGCATGCCTGGGGTCTCCTGCTTGAGTGGGCAAGTTTTTGCTTCTGCAAGACTGCAGGGAGCTCATTGGCATGTCCTTCGTAGGGGCAGCAGCTGGCCTACGGTGCTGGTCGGTGGGGGGAGTCCACAGCAGGAGTCCACAGCAGGAGCCTTGCCCAGCAAGGATGTTGCATCTCCTGGTGATTAACGGACGAGAGTCATTCCCATCGACCCTGAATCCCAATAGCCTGAGAATGGGGTGGGGTGGTAAACAAGGGTAGGCAGATACAGGAACAATTTCCAAAAGTCTAGGTTAGCCCTGCTGCTGTGTTGGTGAAGGCTGGTGAGGGTGCAGGCAAAGGGAAAAGGGACCCTTTCCTAAACTGTTGGTAGAAATATAAATTGGCTTAGTATTTCTGAAGGACAATTTGGCCTTAACTATCAATTTTTATTTTTATTTTTTTTTGAGACAAGATCTCACTCTGTGGTCCAGGCTGGAGTGCAATGTTGCAATTGTGCAGTAGCGCAATCATGGCTCACTGCAACCTCCACCTCCTGGGCTCAAGTGATCCTCCCACCTCAGCCTCCCAAGTAGCTGGGACTACAGGTGCACATCACCATGCTTGGCTAACTTTTTGTATTTTTTTTTTTTTTGGTAAAGACAGGGTCTCACCATGTTGCCCAGGCTGGTCTTGAACTCCTGAGCTCAAGCAATCCACCTGCCTCAGCCTCCAAAAGTGCTGAGATTACAGGCGTTAGCTACCATGCCCAGCCACCTATTAAATTTTATTTTATTTTATTTTTTGAGTCCGTGTCTCACTCTGTTGCCCAGGCTGGAGTACAGTGGCGCAGCCTCGGCTTACTACAACCTGCACCTCCCAGGTTCAAGTGATTCTCCTGCCTCAGCCTCCTGAGTAGATGGGACTACAGGCGTGCAACATCACGCCTAGCTAATTTTTGTATTTTTAGTAGAGATGGGGTTTCACCATGTTGGTGAGGCTGGTCTCAAACTCCTGACCTCAGGTGATCTGCCTGCCTCTGCCTCCCAAAGTGCTGGGATTATAGGCATGAAGCACTGTGCCCAGCCACCTATCAAATTTTAAATGGGTAAGTGTATATCTAGGCTGCAGATTTAGTTCCACACATGTATTATCTTAGCAAGGTTTCTCCCAAGGATTTGGGGGAAACAGAGGACTTACATTTTCTACTTCATACACTTTTAGATTTATATTTTTTGATGATGAGCATGTATTAACTTTCTAATTATAAAAATAGCAAAAGGGTGGCTGGACACAGTGGCTCACGCCTGTAATCCCAGCACCTTGGGAGGCCGAGGTGGGCGGATCATGAAGTCAGGAGATCGAGACCATCCTGGCTAACACGGTGAAACCCTCTCTACTAAAAATACAAAAAAATTAGCTGGGCATGGTGGCAGGCACCCGTAGTCCCAGCTGCTGGGGAGGCTGAGGCAGGAGAATGGCACGAACCTGGGAGGCGGAGCTTGCAGTGAGCCGAGATTGCACCACTGGACTCCAGCCTGGGTGACAGAGCAAGACTCCATCTCAAAAAACAAACAAAAACAATAGCAAAAGGGTTACCAACATTTTCCTATACTTCAAATGTGTGTAAGTGTAGGTAAATATATTATCATCACCCTGGGGACAACTCTGGCCTGGGGGCTCCTGAATTCCACTGGTGGAGGTTTTTACGAGTCAGCAGAGTCAATGGGGATGTGAGGTGCCTGGTAAGGGGATTTGGGGGCCATCAGAGAGGGCAGAGCATCCGGCTTCATTTGCCTGGGGGCAAGGGCTGCCTCATGGATCTCCCCAGAGGCCTAGACTCCCAGCATCCAGTTTATTAAGATGAAAAAATAGAAAACAGGAAGAGAAAAAATAATATAGCAGACAATAAAAGAGACAAAGTAAATTAAAAGAAATAAAAAAGATTATTAAAACGATATAAAAGACAGTAAGCAACTAAATGATTAAATGAACTAAAAATAGCCCCCGACTCAGCCTGAGACCCTCCAAGGCCAGTCAACTCTGGAGGTTGCCAAGCACAACCACAGGTTCCCCCCAAGCCCACAGTCTGAACTGCACCCAGCACGAGGAGGGCCGCGAAGGTAGGGTTCGCCTTGCTGCTCAGTCCTAAGTGAGGACACGGGCTGATCCTTTGCTCCTGATGGCCGAGCTGGAATCTGGTGGGGCTGTTCAGACAATCTGAGTGAAGACCTGGGCCCCTCAGAGGGGCTTTGGAACGTGGAGATGTGTGTGTTCCTGCAATGACCAGGTACGCTGGCTCTGAGTCCCCTGCGGCCCCGTTCCCAGTCTGCTTCCTTGCCTCTCAGGCCTGCCTTCTCCCTTCGGAGAGAGAGTGATCTTCAGGCTTTCTTATGGGGGACCTTCTGAGCCCCAAGGCACTCTCAGGCCACTTCTCCCTGGTCTCACATCCTTCTAAGGATCTGCCCACAGCTAGGGTAATTGTCAGATGTGCATTCCCTACAGAACAAAAGGACAGAGCAGGCCTTGCCTTAGCTCTGAGCAGAGGGTTTAACCGGCCTCTCTCCTCACAGGAATACATTTCCCAAGGTCGGGGTTCTTCAACCTGGCATAGCCTCATGAGGAGACGAAAGCATGCCCCTGGGTGTGTCTAAGGTCCTCTTAGTCTGGCTGTAAAGGGCACCTCTGGCCAGGAGCGGTGGCTCAGGCCAGGTGCGGTGATTCACGCCTATAATCCCAGCACTTTGGGAGGCTGAGGCGGGTGGATCACCTGAGGTCAGGAGTTCAAGGCCAGCCTGACCAACATGGATAAACCTTGTCTCCACTAAAAACACAAAAATTAGCTGGGCATGGTGGCACATACCTGTAATCCCAGCTACTCAGGAGGCTGAGGCAGGAGAATCGCTTGAACCTGGGAGGCGGACATTGCGGTGAGCTGAGATTGCGCCGTCACACTCCAGCCTGGGCAACAAGAGCGAAACTCTGTCTCAAAATAAATAAATAAATAAATATAATAAAGGACACCTCTGCCAAGCTGGGAAGAATATTATGCCTTGCTATCCTGCTGGCAGCTTCCTCTCTGTGCCCCATCTAGCAATGGCTAGAACTGGGCCAAATCCTCACTCGTTGCTCTGTGATTTACAGGCACAACACCCTCTACCTCCCTATGGAAAAGAAGCTGCTATCACCAGGGGAAAGATTAACTGGTACATGTTGTTGCATCCTCACCATAGAGCACTCCTGAGCTCTTAAGAGGCTGACGTGGGCCTCTTAAGGCCCACCCATATGTGGGCCAGGAAAGGCTATCTATGCTGGGTCATTGAGGCCCAGGGTCTGGTCTTCCAGAACAAAGAAATATTTGCCCAGAATTAAATCCCCATCACCTGTAACAGCTTCCTGCTTTGAGACCAAGGCTTCAAAAGTCCCAGGAGCAATGCTTGGTCAAGGCTTGAGATTAAATGTTGAGGGGCTCCCCACCACACAGAAATCTCCCTAAGGAAGGAAACGTTCCCAAGTACAGAGCAATCTGGCTCCCAGGGAGGTCAGGGGACAAATTACCACTGTCTGCTTCTCCAAACCCCAGGAGTTTTTCGCCAGTCACAAAAAAACAGCACAATAACAGTAAAAGCGAGAAGATAAGATGAGATGAAAGAATGTCATATAAAATCATAAAGAACAAAATAGAGATAAGGAATGATCAAGATAAGTAAAACAGAACTAGAGGACTCAAAGATGAAAAGGAGAAAAGAGATAAATAAGCTTTTAAAATTATACAAAAAAATACAATCAACAATTTATGAGATTAGAAGCTGAGGTTATAAAAACAAAGGTTTACAATGTTCAAATAGCCCCAGGCAATGGAACCTGAGCGGCCAGCAGCCTGCAGGGGTCTTCCTGGTCTCCCACACAAAGGCAGAGTTTGAAACCCCCTTTAACCAACTCCAGAGCCCTTCTAGGCAACATCTCACTGCTTAAACACCTTGGGGCCATTATTTCTGACTTCTGATTTTTGCTGATGTCCATGAGGTACTATCCAATTCATCTTCTGCCTGTATTTCCAAAGCAAATGTTATTGGGAACTAGTAAAATACAGGTCCACAATTCCTAACTCTCAATTCAGAAATCCAAAAAGCCATGAAAACCAAAACTCTGTCATCTCTTACTTGATGGCATAACCTGATCTAGCCTGAACTTATTTGGCAGCAAAACCTGACCTGAACTGAGGTGAAGCTATTTATAGGGTGAATCTTCATTCATTTCCTTGCAGAAATATTAATGTGCTTGATTTGAGGGAACTGCCACAGAGCTTGCTCTGGGAGTTGTGTAATACAGGGTATGTGCATCTTACCTTACTAAAATTCTGAAACACATCTAGCCCTAAGGTTTCAGATAAGAGATCGTGGACCTGAATTAAAATCCTCCACCAGATAGAAGAATAGGAAAACAAATGGTAGCATATTCACACAATGGAATACTACACAGCAATCACAATGACCTAGCTGCACTACACTCTACATAATGTCCAGAAAAGAAGCCAGACACAAAATTCACACGTGTTGGAAGGCTCAAGACTACCTTGTATTTGTTTTGTTCATTTCTTAAATTCCACTGCTATAGAGTTCAAAAACAAGAAACCTAATCAGGTAGGATTTCTTTCATTTAATCTTTCAGTAAATATAGGCCAGTACCCCGATTACCTCTTCCCACCAGAGCCTAAGCTGACCACTCTGGAGAATGTACTGCTAAGCCCCACGCTGACAGCCCTGTCGCCAATGCAGGACCAGTTTGTTCCCTCTCCACCTTCCTCCCTCTGCCTTTGTCTCCAGCTCCTCTTTGTTTTGCCCCGGTGGAGTGGCTCACGGGATGGTGGCGATCTTGTCTTTTCATGCTTTTGTCCTCACTCCATCCGGGGTCCCTGTCCACCCTCTTCCCTGGCCATTCACATAGGCGTTTTATCTTTCTTCATTCCCTCTCCTCCTTGGCTGATGGGCTGCCCGATCCCCACGCGGCCCAGTCTCTTCCTGTCCTTATGTCTCTACCGTCTGATGCTTGGGATCCGCTGGTTTTAGGCTTTTGTTTGGGCCGCAGGGCGTTCTCTCTGCCTCTGCCTCTCACTCCCACCACCCTCCCTTCCTTCCCCCTCATCTCGATGTCCTTTGTGGGACATTCACTTTTATCTCCCTTTGATTTTCTCTCTCCTCTTTGTAGAGGGAGAATGAAAGGCTCAGCTAATTGTAGCAGTGGGGCAGTGACGCCTGGCTCCCCTTCCCAGCACCTTCCCCACCAGGGCTGAGCAGAAAGGGAAATGAGGGCAATTCAGACTCCCACCGCCCTAAGCCTGCTCCAGATCTCTCTCCCCATGGACTTTCCACCCCCAGTTTTTGCAAGGGGAGATTAGATAGTACTGGAGCCCCTCAACTCCACCTCCACTCAGTCTCCCTGGACTTGCCCCTTGTTCACTTTTGTATTCACTGTGCCCTGGTGTGTGCCAGGCAGCAGGCAAGGTGCTGGGTGCAGAGTGGCCAACCAGATGGATGTGCAGTCTCTGACTTCATGTCCCAACATGAAGCAGGTCGGGGCTATGATAGCGGAATTACAGTGTCGTCTTCAACAGAGGGACTGAACTCAGAATGGGGCCAGGGACCAGCTCCCTGAGGAAATGATGTCTAAGTTGAGAACTGAAGAGGACTTAGAGGAGTCTGGACAGAGAGGAGGAAAATGTGTCCTAAACAGAGCATCCAGTTTAACAGGAGAGAGCATGACATAAAATTCATTATGATCAGAACATGAACTGGTGGGAGCCGGGTGATGGGGTCTTGTAAGGAGCTTGCAATTTATCCTAAGGATGCAGGAAGTCACTGAAGTGTTTTCAGTGGGGAATGGGACAGATCATATTTGTGTTTGGGGTGATGTGGGGAACAGGCTGAGGGGGAACAAGACTGGAGGGAGGATTAGGACATGTAGTGCTTCCCTGTGGTTGCTGTAACAAATGACCACAGATTGAGTGGCTACAAATCACATAAATGTAATACAAATCACACAGGTCTGGAGGTCAGAAGTCCAAAGTCAGACTCACTGGGATAAAGTTAAGGTGTTGGCCGGGCGGGTTCCTTCTAGAAGTTCAAGTGGAAAATCCGTGTCTATGTCTTTTCCAGCTTCCAGGGACCATCTGCATTCCTGGGGTCATGGCCCCTTCCTCCACGTTCAAAGGGGATGACTCCAACCTCTGCTTTTGTGTTCATGTCTCTTCTCTATGTCTGACCCTCCAGCCTCTCTTTTTTTTTTGAGATGAAGTTTTGCTCTTGTTGCCCAGGCTGGAGTGCAATGGCACAATCCTGGGTTCAAGCGATTCTCCTGCCTCAGCCTCCCGAGTAGCTGGGACTACAGTCACTTGCCACCATGCCCGGCTAATTTTTGTATTTTTAGTAGAGATGGGGGTTTCACCACGTTGGCCAGGCTGGTCTCAAACTCCTGACCTTCAAGTGATGCACCCACCTCGGCCTCCCAAAGTGCTGGGATTACAGGTGTGAGCCACCACGTCCAACCCAACCTCTCTTTTATAAGGACCTTTGTGATTACATTGGGCCCCTCTGGATAACCCAGGATAACCTCCCTATCTCAAGATCCTTCATTTAGTCACATCTGCAAAGTCCCTTTTCTCATGCAAGGCAAAATATTCATAGGTTCTGGGGATTAGGATGTGGACATCTTTGCCAGGCCATTTTTCTGCCCACTGCAGGGGACTGTCATGGTATTTGAGATAGGAAATAGTGATTGGTAGCAGTACAGATGGAATCAAGGGCATAGATCTGAGATAACTTTAGAAATTAGACTAATTGGTGACTGATTAGATATGGGACGTTGGGGAGAGAGATGAGGGGAGATCATGTCTGGTTTTCCGACTCCAGCACTTGACAAGATGGGGATATGGTTTATAAGACAGAGAACACAGGAAAAAACTAGGTGTCAGGAGTGGACTACAGGAGGAGATGAGTCTGACCTGCCTCTGAGACAGCTAAGATGAGATGCCCAGAGGGCAGGTGGAGGTGCATCTGGAGTCCAGGAGAAGGGTCTGGGGAAGGTGATATGGTTTAGAGTCAGTAAACCATGGCCAGGGGGCTGGCAGCCTGTTTTGCAAATAAAGCATTATTGAAACACAGTCAAGCCCATTCATTCTGATTTATTTATTTATTTAGTTAGTTAGTTAGTTAGTTAAGAGATAGGGTCTTGCTCTATCACTTAGGGCGGAATGCAGTGGTATGATCATGGCTCACTGTAACTTGAACTCTTGGGCTCAAAAGATTCTCCTGCCTCAACCTCTCAAGTAGCTAGGACTGCAGACATGCACCACCACACCTGGCTAATTTTTTATTTTTAGTTTTTGTAGAGATGGGGTCTCCCTATGTTGTCCAGGCTGGTCCTCAACTCCTAACCTCAAGCAATCCTCCCACCTTGGCCTCCCAAAGTGCTGGGATTATAGGCATGAACTACTGTGCCCAACTCCATTTCTGTATTCCTTATGCCTGCTTTCATAATACAGCAGCAGAGTTGAGTATTTGCAACAGAGACTGTATGGCCCACAAAGCCATGTGGCCCTTTCAGAAAAAGTCTGCCAACCCCTGGGTTAGAGAGTCATCAGCCCAAAGGTGGTACACAGGAGTGGGATATTTACATGTCCCACCCACACTCAAGGGGAAGGGATTATTCAGGGTTTGTACACCAGGGAATGGGAATCTTAACCTTAGGGGAACTTCTGGCCAGCAGGTCTCCTATATCAATCAGGTTAAGATTTTTTTAACTAGGAAGATAATATGTGCCCATTAAAGGAAGCCAGCACCACAAAACAGAGGGGAAAAACTTCTGGCCCCCTTAGCTTAAGCTGTGGGTCATCTGCACAGCACAGCCGCACATTAGAACTGTGCTTATGCCTTCCATTTAATAAATCAAGAGAAAGTAAGTTATTTTTTAAAAAGCATTTGTTTATTTATTTATTTAATTTTTTTTTTTTTGAGATGGACTCTCACTCAGCCGCCCAAGCTGGAGTGCAGTGGCTCAATCTCAGCTCACTGCAATCACCGTCTCCCGGGTTCAAGTGATTCTCCCATCTCAGCCTCTGGAGTAGCTGGGATTATAGGCACCTGCCATCTTGCACGGCTAATTTTTGTATTTTAGTAGAGATGGCATTTCATCATGTTGGCCAGGCTGGTCTTGAACTCCTGACCTCAGGTGATCTGCCCGCCTCGGCCTCCCAAAGTGCTAGGATTACAGGCATGAGCCACTGTGCCTGGCCAAAAAAGCATTTAATAAAGAAAAAATATTAAATTAATGGAAAAATCAAAACTGTAATAAAAGACAAGATAAAAAGAGGGCAACAGTGGCTCACGCCTGTCATCACAGCACTTTGGGAGGCCAAGAAAGAGGATCACTTGAGGCCAGGAATTCAAGACCAGCCTGGACAACATAGTGAGACCTCATCTTTACAAAAAATTTTAAAATGAGCCGGGTGTGGTGGTACGTCCCTGTAGTCTCAGCTTGGGAGGCTGAGGTGGGAAGATCACTTGAGCCCAGGAGTTTGAGGCTACAGTAAGTCATGATTTTGCCACTGCACTCCAGCCTGAATGACAGTGAGACCCTGTCTCAAAAAAAAAAAAAAAAGCAAGAAGCAACTATAAAGTTTAAAGTGACAAGAAGAAACAAAAAATATGATTGAGGGCTGAGCATGGTGGCTCACACCGGTAATATCAGCACTTTCGGAGGCTGTGGAGGGCAGATCACGTGAGGTCAGGAGTTCGAGAGCAGCCTGGCCAACATGGTGAAACCCCGTCTCTACTAAAATCCAAAAATTAGCTGGGTGTGATGGTGTGTGCCTGTAATCCCAGCTACTCGGGAGGCAGAGGCAAGAGAATGACTTGACCCTGGGAGGTGGAAGTTGCAGCGAGCCGAGATTGTGCCACTGCACTTCAGCCTGGGTGACAGAGTGAGACTCTGTCTCAAAAAAAAAAAAAATATATATATATATGTATATATGATAAATATACATATGTATATATGATATATATGTATATGTGATATATATATGTGATTGAGGACAAAAAGGTTAAGTGAAATAAAATAAAGATGTATAAAATAGGAAGAAAAGACAAAGCATGCTAAGAACAATTAAACTGCCAAATCAGTACAAGTTAAAAGACTTGAAGACTTGAAGGATTAAAGGACCAAGGAACTTTCAAAGCTAAAATAAAATGTAAAAAACTAAGAAGTAAAGAACTGTAGTAAATGTGTTTAAATCTGGAGCAAGAACAAATTGAAAAGCTTACCAATGCCATGCTAAGTCAGCCAGTGATTCAAACGGAAGCAACTGTAAAATCCAACATACCTGCCTGAGTATCTTTCTCAACCAGTGTTCCGCGTCTGAACCATGGAATACAGAATATTATTTGGGTGACTGTTTTCTCAATTCCCCCAAGGTACATAACCAGTTCCATTTAAATGCAAAGGAGAGAAGTTAATTTATTGCACATAGTGCCTTGGATGCTGAGAGCATTAGGGCTTCCTTCTCACCAAACTGGCTGATCTATGTCAAAAAGTGTGCAACTAAGAAAGGGTCTGTCTATTTGGCATTGAGTTCTGTGAGGCCTTTGAGAGACAAGTTTTGGACAAGAGGTGGAAACAGAAGTAAGATTCCTGGGACATTCTCCCTCTTCAAGAGCTGCTCAATCAAGTGATGACTGACTAAAGCACAAGTCACTTTGGATCATTTACTGGAAATAATAAAGCCATCAACAGATGTCTTGATTTCACCCAGAAGAATTCAGAGGGGTAGCAGAGAACGTTCAGTTATTTGATTTTACTCCCTATAAGCCTGCTGGCCAAAGGCACAGGAAGGATTTGTAAGTTGGTGCCTTAAAAAAAAGAAAAAAAAAAAAAAGGCCGGGCGCGGTGGCTCACGCCTGTAATCCCACCACTTTGGGAGGCCAAGGCAGGCCGATCACGAGTTCAGGAGATCGAGACCATCCTGGCTAACACGGTGAAACCCCGTCTCTACTAAAAAAAAAAAAAAAATTAGCCAGGCATGGTGGCGGGTGCCTGTAGTCCCAGCTACTTAGGAGGCTGAGGCAGGAGAATCACTTGAACCCGGGAGGCAGAGATTGCAGCGAGCCGAGATTGCACCACTGCACTCCAGCCTGGGCGACAGAGTGAGACTCTGTCTAAAAAATAAAAAAATAAAAAATAAAGCTCTTCCAAATTCACTCTGCAATGAGCCAAAGCTGTCTTGTGAGTGAGGACTGATTGATTGCAGTCTCCAGATGCTCCTTTTTTTCTTCCCCTCCAGCATTATATAAGTGAAAAAGCAAATGATTGCTAGTTTCACATGATTGTATTCATCCTAGCCAAGGGACTCCTACAAAAGCTGAGTTAAACTTCCTCAACTCTGGAATAATACAACAGGACTCAGTACCCACCAGAAGATAACTGTGTTAAAAAAAAATCAAGCTAAATTCTGCATGGATATGGTTGATCACTCTTCCCTTGAAAAACTACCTGCTCCCTTATTGTATTCATTATCTACTGCTGTGTAACCAATTACTCCAAAACTTTAGTGCCTTAAAACAACAAAGAGTTGGCCGGGCACGGGGGGTCATGCCTGTAATCCTAGCACTTTGGGAGGCTGAGGCAGGTGGATGGATCACCTGAGGCCAGGAGTTCAAGACCAGCCTGACCAACAAGGTGAAACCCCATCTCTACTAAAAATACAAAAATTAGCTGGGCGTGGTGGCAGGCACCTGTAGTCCCAGCTACTCGGGAGGCTGAGACAGGAGAATTGCTTGAACCCAGGAGGCAGAGGTTGCAGTGAGCTGAGATCGTGCCACTGCACTCCAGCCTGGGCGATGGAGCAAGACTCTGTCTCAAAAACAACAACAGCAACGATAACAACAACAACAACAACAACAACAAAGAGTTATTATCTCACAGTTTCTGTGGGTCAGGAATTCCAGAACGACTTAGCAGGGTGATTCTGGTTCAAAGTCTGTCGTGTAGTTACAGTCACTTTGAAGGCTTGACTGGGGCTGGGGTCCTACCAACATGGCTCTTCACATGGCTTTTGGCTGGATGCCTCAGTTCCTCATGATGTGAATGTCTCCAAACGCTATTTGTGCCATGACACTGCAGTAACATCCCCCAGCAAGAAAGAGGCAGGATTTGCAGTGCTTTTAATGACCTAGTCTCCAAATTCACACATTGTCACTTCCACTTTATACTTTTTTTTTTTTTTTTTTGAGACGGAGTCTTGCTCTGTGGCCCAGGCTGGAGTGCAGTGGCTTGATGTCGGCTCACTGCAACCTCCACCTCACAGGTTCAAGCAATGCTCATGCCTCAGCCTCTCAAGCAGCTGGAATTACAGGCGCGTGCCACCACAACCAGCTAACTTTTGTATTTTTAGTAGAGACGGGGTTTTACCATGTTGCCCAGGTTGGTCTCAAACTCCTGGCCTCAAGTGATCTGCCTGCCTCGGCCTCCCAAAGTGTTGGGATTACAGGCGTGAGCCACCGCACTCAGCCCACTTTATTCTATTCATTAGAAGTGAGTCACTAAGTCTAGCCCACACTTAAGAGGAAGAGATTTAGATACCACCTTTTAAAGGGAGGGATAGCAAAGAATTTGTGCACATATTTTAAAACTCCCATGCCTGTCTTCCGCAGCAAGACAGCTCCCCTGGTTGTCTTCCTATGTCTCTGGCTACTCCTTCTCAGGGTCCATCAGTGGTTCCTTGTATTCTTTCTGCTTCCTGAATGTTGGTTTTCTGGGGCTTCTCCTGTTCTCACTCCATATGTTTGCTCTGGGCTACCCTCTACTCCTCTGTACCATCTTTGGGCTGATGGTTCTCATGATTATGTTATGTTACTTGACAAAGGCGAAAGAATTCTGCAGATGTATTGAAGGTCCCAAATCAGCTGACTTTGAGCTAATCAAAAGGGAGATTATCCTGGATGGACCTGACCTAACTAGGTGAGTCCTTAAAAGAGACAAGGCCTGTATTAGTCCATTTTGCTTTCTTATAAAGGTATACCTGAGACTGTGTAATTTATAAAGAAAAGAGGTTTATTTCACTCACAGTTCTGCAGGCTGTACAAGAATGGCACCAGCAAATGCTAAACTTCTGGTGAGGCCTCAGGAACCTTTTATTCATGGTAGAAGGCACAGGGGGAGCAGATTTGTCACATGGCAAGAGAGGGAGCAAGAGAGAGATGTGGAAGATTGAAGACAGGTTTTTTTGTTTTTGTTTTTTGTTTTTTGTTTTTTTTTTGAGACAGGATCTTGCTCTGTCCACCAGGCTGGAATGCAGTGGCACAATCACAGCTCACTGCAACCTCCTGGGCTCAAGCAATCCTTCTGGGCTCAAGTGATTCTCCCAACCTCAGCCTCTTGAGGCAGGACTACAGACTTGTGCCCCCATGCCTAACTAATTTGTTGAATTTTTAGTAGAGATGAGATTTCACTATGTTTCCCAGGCTAGTCTCGAACTCCTGAGCTCAAGCAATCCTCCCACCTTGGCCTCCCAAACTGTTGGAATTACAGGCATAAGTCACTGTGCTGGGTCCCCAGACTCTTTTTAACTAGATCTCATGTGAACACATTACCCCGGGGCAAGGTGGGTGGGGAAGGGATAACCAATACATTCATGAGGGATCTGCTCCCATGATCCAAACACCTTCCACCAGGCCCCACCTCCAACACTGGGGATCATATTTCAGCATGAGTTTTAAAGAGGACACACATTCAAACACTATCAGGGCCCATCTTAAAGTCAGAGATTTGAAGAGAAAGAGATTCCGAAATGAAAGAGATTCTTCTGCTGGCCTTGAAGAAGTAGGTTACCATGTTCAAAGGGCCATTGGAGAGGGCTGCATGGCAAAGACCAGAGAGTAACTTCTAGTTGTTGAAAGCAGTTCCCAGCTAACAGCTAGCAAGGAAATGGGAACCTCAGGTATGCAACTGCAAGAAAATGAACTCTCCCAACAACCCGAGGGAGCTTAGAAATAAACCTTTCCATAGCTAAGCCTCCAGATGAAGACAAACCCAGCTGCCACCTTGATTTCAGCCTGGTGGGACCATGAGCTAGGGACCCAGCTAAAACATGCCAGACTCCTGACTCACAGAAACTGTGAGATCATAAATCTATATTGTTTTAAGGCACTAAACTTTTGGTATTTTATTATACAACAATTAAAAACTAATATATCATGTGATATCTCACTAATAACCTTGTTGAACTGCTGAAATAGATGTGATTTTTTCTCTCATTCTGTTGAATTTCTCTCTGAGGAGGTACAGCCTATAATCTCCATTCAATAAACCCACTGGACATTGGCAAACCCTTATTCACATCACCATGTATTGGGAAGGGAAGCTAGGTAAGAAGTTCTCTTTGGGGAAGGATTGTCAACAGAAAAATGGCTAAAGTTAACAAATATACAAAAACATGTGGTCTTGAGTTCTTCCAATAAGACTCCTTGGAAGGAAGGAAGGTTGAAGAACCAAAAGTTGGTGTCATGATTACATTTTCCCAAAATGCACAAAACAATGTTACCCATCCCATGTGATTGTTGGGCTCTGAAACCAAGATTCCAAAATATGGCCTTTTGACATGCTGAACTGTATTAGTCCCTTCTCACGCTGCTAATAAAGACATACCTGAGACTGGGTAATTTATAAAGGAAGAGGTTTAATTGACTCACAGTTCTGCAGAGCTGGGGAGGCCTCAGGAAACTCACGATCATGGTGGAAGGGGAAGCAAACACAAGTTCTTCTTCACTTGACAGCAGCAAGGAGAAGTGCAGAGCTAAGGTGGGGAAAAGCCCCTTATAAAACCATCAGATCTCGTAAGAGCTCGCTCACTATCACAAGAACAGCGTGGAGGTAACTGCCCCCATGATTCAATTACCTCCCACCAGGTTCTTCCAATAACACATGGGGATTATGGGAACTACAATTCAAGAGGAGATTTAGGTGGGGACAGAGCCAAATCATATCATGAATGAAGAAGAAACCTCAAGGTCTCTCTGACCTCCCCCTCACTGACTCTCCCAAATCCAGGATGAAGTTGTTCTCTGAAGTTCCTTTATCTGCCCAAAATCCAGACCCACAAAGGAGAACAATTGTTTTTTCTTCCCCTCCCTGCAGGACTAAGACAAGTTAATCTCTGTTCTGGCATCCATGCATTCTCCCTAGTAATCCTTTATTGCCCCTCAGCAGAATTCCTCTTCTCCCGCTCCCATAGTCTGTTTTGCCAGGATGATATATAAACTTCCAAACTCCACTGGGAAGTGAGCAATCACCCTGTGGTTCTCCCCACATACACATTAATGATACATGTGTATGCCTTTTCTCCAATTAATCTGCCTTTTCTAAGTTGATTTTTCAGCGAAACTTCAGAGGGCAGAGGGGAAGTATTCCTTGAAAGGAAGTGACTTGAACCCTCTCCACATTGAGAGGCAAGCCTCTTCCCTTGAAACTGGGTAGACTTGTGACAGAAGTAACACGATGTGACTTCCAAGGAGATAGGTTGCTGGCAGTGTGGAAAAAAACAAGCTGTTTTGCCCCTGCTCTCACACCACAATCAATCAACACAGAAAACTGTGACCAAATGTGTGTAGGTTTTACCCCACACACCAATAAGCAAGCAATCAATTCTGCAGCAGACACACCAGCTGGGTGTCCTCTAAGTCTACCTGGAGATGGTGTCAGATCCCACAGGTTGAGGGTTCAGTGCTAGAAGACTGCCCCCGACTTCAGATGCCAATCACAAGCTCCAGGTATGTTTTACCTGTGCTTCTGACTGATCAGATGTAAACTGGGGTTTCCATGACCCCTTTCTGGGGTTTGATTAATTTGCTAGAGCAGCTCATAGAACTCAGAGAAATGCTTATGTTTACTTTTTTTTTTTTTTTTTGAGACAGAGTCTCACTCTATCCCCCAGCCTGGAGCGCAGTGGCATGATCTCGGCTCATTGCAACCTCCGCCTCTCAGGTTCAAGCGATTCTCATGCCTCAGTCTCCCGAGTAGCTGGGATTACAGGCACCCGCCACCACGCTGGACCAATTTTTGTATTTTTAGTAGAGACAGGGTTTTGCCATGTTGACCAGGCTAGTCTCGAACTCCTGACCTCAGGTGATCCACTCGCCTTGGCCTCCCAAAGTGCTGGGATTACAGGCATGAGCCACCAAGCCTGGCCATGCTTACTATTTTATTATAAAAGATATCGTAAATGAGAAAAGAAAAAATAGCCCAAAGCAGTCTGAGTTAGGGTTAAGGATGCAAAATTTATCAAGTCCAGAGACACATGTGTGTGGGACTTCAGTTGTGCTCCTCCCCCAATCCATGTCAAGGGGGAATTGTTTAAAGGTATTTTTTGTTCCCATTATCTTCACGGTACTGAATTTGTGATACAAAGATCAATGGATAGCCAATTAATAGCTTATGTTATTTTAATGTAAATTCTTAGTAAACAACTTAGAAAAATCCAGTATATATTCAGGGCAAACTGAATCCATGTTCCCAGGTTGTAGCCCTCAAAGTTGGCCCAAATAAACTCTCTGCTTATATTAATTTTGCCTCTTTTTTTCTTTAAAAATTTTTTTAAATTTATTTTTTATTTTTATTTTGTAGAGATGGGGTCTCATTATGTTGTCCACGCTGGTCTCATACTCCTGGACTCCAGCGATTCTCCTGCCTCAGCCGCTCAAAGTGCTGGGATTACAGGCGTGAGCCACTGCATCTGACCAGTTTTTTCTTTAGGTCAACACGGGCGCCTGCCACCATGCCTGGCTAATTTTTGTATTTTTAGTAGAGATGGGGTTTCACCATGTTGGCCAGGCTGGTCTTGAACTCCTGACCTCAAGTGATCCACCCGCCTCAGGCTCCCAAAGTGCTGGGATTACAGGCAAGAGTCACTGCGTGCAGCCATGGCTTGACTCTTTTTTTTTTTTTTTTTTTTGAGACGGAGTTTCTCTCTTGTTGCCCAGGCTGGAGTGCGATGGCACAATCTCAGCTCACCACAACCTCTGCCTCCCGGGTTCAAGCAATTCTTCTGCCTCAGCCTCCTGAGTAGCTGGGATTACAGGCGCCCGCCACCACGCCCGGCTAATTTTGTATTTTTAGTAGAGACAGGGTTTCTCCATGTTGGCCAGGCTGGTCTCAAACTCCCGACCTCAGGTGACCTGCCTGCCTCAGACTCCCAAAGTGTTGGGATTACAAGCGTGAGCCACTGCTCTCGGCCTATGGCTTGACTCTTGAGTGGCCTCCCTTCTACTCCTACCTACTCAAGACTTGACCCCCATCATCCTTCTGAGCAGGCTTATAAAAGATCCTCTTAGTGTGTAAATTGCCTCAATCCCCTTCCTTTGTCTTGAGAGGCCAGAGAGTTTGGCTAAAGGTGGGATAATCTTCAATGACTCTTCTGGTACTGAGTCACCTGTGCTTTTTCAGGACTAACTGATAGACAAGAAGACCACAAGTAAAATTACACTAGAGACTGGGGACAAAGAGGTATGAAACATGACCGGTGATCTCAAGGAACTAACAAGCTATTTACTGCTTAAAATTTTTTAAAGTCCAACACTGATGAATTCTCTGTCCGGAGAACTTCAATGACTCCATGTTGGCTGTAGGTAGAATGAATGATCATTTCATTTATTATCCAAATCAAAATGTTTTGATAGTGAAAAGAGACACAATAATTACTGTAAACCAGACCCAGTGGCCCATGCCTATAATCCCAGCACTTTGGGAAGCTGAGGCTGGAGAATCGCTTGAGGCTAGGAGTTTGAAACCAGCTTGAGCAACATAGCAAGATCCTACAAACATTTTAAAAATTAGCTGGGCATGGTGGCACATGTCTGCAATCCTAGCTACTCAGGAGGGTGAGGCAAGAGGATCACTTGAGGCCAGGAGTTTGAGATTGTAGTGAGCCATGATCTAGCCACTGCACTCCAGCCTGCGCAACAGAGTGAGATTCTGTCTCTAAAATAATTACGATAAAAAAGTTACCTAGGGAAAACAGATATAGACTATGCCTATCCTGGGCAAACCAGCACAATGGTCCTCATAGCTATAGGAACATATATAAGAAGAGTCCTAACACCTTTTTTATTTATTTTATTTATCTTTATGTATTTAATTAATTTATTACTTTATTTATTTTTTAGACAGTGTTTCGCTCTTGTTGCCAAAGCTGGAGTGCAATGATGCAATCTTGGCTCACTGCAACCTCCACTTCCCGGGTTCAAGCGATTCTCCTGCCTCAGCCTCCTGAGTAGCTGGGATTACAGGTGCGTGCCACCAAGCCTGGCTAATTTTTTGTATTTTTAGTAGAAATGGGGTTTCACCATGTTAGCCAGGCTGGTCTTGAACTCCTGACCTCAGGTGATCCGCCTGCCTTGGCCTCCCAAAGTGCTGGGATTGCAGGTGTGAGCCACTACGCCCGGCCTTTTTTTTTTTTTTTTTTTTTTTTTTGAGACAGGGTCTCACTCTCCTTACCCAGGCTGGAGTGCAGTGGTAGGATCAGAGCTCACTGCAGTCTCAACTTCCTGGGCTCAGGTGATCCTCCTACTTCAGCCTTACAAGTAGCTGGGACTACAGGTGTGCACCACCACACCTGGCTAATTTTTTTGTATTTATAGTAGAGACAGGGTCTCACCATGTGGCCCAGGCTGGTTTTGAACTCCTGGGCTCAAGTGATCCTACTGCCTCGGCCTCCCAAAGTGCTAGGATTACAGGCGTAAGCTACTGCTCATGGCTCCTAACATTTCTTATTCGTTATTAAACTCACTTGGCCAAACCACAGCTTTTTTGCATCCAACTCTCCTACTACTTTGCACCTACCCCCATGCAGCTGAACATGACCAGGAAATACACAGCCATGCTGACTGGTCTGCTTTAAATTCATAACCATTTATCTCATGTGAACCCTCAATGCTGCGTAGCTATCATGCCACATTTGCCTGATTGATTCATTCTCCTACACTCCTGGACAACACTTTCACATCTCCTCCTCTCTCCTCGAAACTGCAACACCTCCTGCCTCACTCTCGCTGTGAGTTGAAGGCCTTACCACTTCCACCTAGCTGTCTGCTCCTGCGCTCCTGCACTCTGCCTGCTCTCCTGCTATTGTCTGTGCTCCCTGACGGGAGCCCTCACTCCATTGTGTCTTAGGCCCTGTCCCCTCCAACCGACTCAAGACTTCGTCCCAGCAATTCTTTCCTGTCTCATGCTTTATTAGTTTTTCTCTCCCATCATTTCCTCAGCACAAACGTGTGCTATTAGATCTCATCTCCCATCTTTAAAAATCCCTCTCTTGGCTCTGTTTTCTCTTCAGTTATCACCCAGTTGCCTTCCTCCTTTCGCACAAAATTATTTAAAGGAATATTCAGTCTCCAATTTCTCACCTTCCGTTCTATCTTCAACCCATTCCAGTGAGGTTTTTGCTTCTACCATTCCATCAGAACTGCTCAGGTCATGGTAGCTAATGAACTCCACATCCTGCTGCCAATGGGCATTTCTCATCCTCTCAGCAGCATTTCACATAGGCGGTCTCTCTAAGTTTTCCTTAAAAAACGTTTTCACTTGACTTATAAGACACCATCCTCACCTGGTTTGACTCCTATCTCTCTGGCCACACTCTTCTTTCTTTCTCTTGATCTTTCTTTCTTTCTTTCTTTCTTTCTTTCTTTCTTTCTTTCTTTCTTTCTTTCTTTCTTTCTTTCTGTTTCTTCCTTCTTTCTTTCCTTCCTTCCTTCCCTCCCTCCCTTCCTCCTTCCTTCCTTTCTTTCTTCCTTCCTTATTCCCTCCCTCCTTCCCTCCCTTCCTTCCTTCTTTCTTTCTTTTTTTGTTGGAGTGTCTCAGGCCTTAGTCCTTACATCTCACCTCCTTGTTTAATCTGCACTTATTTCTTAGGTGATTTTATCTAATCTCAAAGTTTTAAATACCACTTATATCTGATGATTCCCAAATTTGTATCTCTAACCTCAAACTCTTTCCAGAACTCCCACCTTGATTGTTGACTCAACATTTCTATTTGGATATCTAATAGGCACTTCACACTTAACATATTCAAAGTTGAGCACCTGCTATTTACCCTAACACTGTTCTGTCTTCATTCTTACCATACGTAGATGATGGCAACTATATTCTTCCACTTACATGGACAAAAAACCTCATGTTATCTTTGACTCCTCTTTTATACCCTGCATTCAACCCATCAGCAAATTATCTGTTCTACCTTCAAAATGTTTCTGGAATTGGGCCACTTCTTTTTACTTTTTATTTTACTTTATTTTTGAGACAGAATCTCTCACCCAGGCTGGGATGCAGTGGTGTGATCTCCACTCACTGCACCCTCCACCTCCCGGGCTCAAGTGATCATCCCATCTCAGCCTCCCAAACAGCTGGGACTACAGGCACCTGCCACCATGCCCGGCTAATTTTTGTATTTTTTGTAGAGACAGGATTTCACCCTGTTGCCCAGGCTGGGAGACTACTTCCTACCACCATCATCTCTCACCTCCTAATTTGTCGTCCTGCTTCTGCACTTACTTCCCTTTGATCTATTCTCAACATAGTAACTAGATGCATTTTATCAAATCCTAATTCAGATCATGTCAGTTCTCTGCTCATAACTTGTCTTTCTGAAACATGTAAAGATGAAAGCATTCCCCTGCCCGTCACCTCTTTGGCATCCTGTCTTCCTTTCCCTCCTGCTCCCCCTGCCTCAGCCACATTGTCGCCGGCCATCCATCAAATACGCCAGACATATATGTTTGCTCATGATGTTTCGTCTGCATAGAATGATCTTTCCCCAGATATCCTCATGGCTAGCTCTCTCACATCTTTCCAGGGTGAATCCAAAGGTCATTTTCTGAATGAGGTCTTCCTTGGTGACTGTGGTAGTCAGCCTCCAAAATGGCTCCCAGCAATCCCCATCTCCAGACACCTGTACTTGTTTGTGGTCATGCTGTCCTCTCTCACATTGTAGCAGGGCTGGTTTGTGTGACCAGTGGAATATAGCAGAAGTGCTATTAGGCTATGTATTGGTCCATTCTCGAATTGCAATAAAGAAACACCTGGCTGGGCGCCACGACTCATGCCTGTAATCCCAGCACTTTGGGAGGCTGAGGCAGGCAGATCACTTGAGGTCAGGAGTTCAAGATCAGCCTGGCCAACATGATGAAACTCTGTCTACTAAAAATACAAAAATTAGCAGGCATGGTGGCTCATGCCTGTAGTCCCAGCTACTCGGGAGGCTGAGGCAGGAGGATCGCTTGAACCTGGGAGATGGAGGTTGCAGTGAGCCAAGATAGCACCACTGTACTCCAGCCTGGGTGACAGAATGAGACTCTCTCTCAAAAGAATTAAATTAAATTAAATTAAAATTTAAAAAAAGAAATACCTGAGGCTGGGTAATTTATAAAGAAGTTTAATTGGCTCATGGTTCTGTAGGCTGTACAGGAAGCATAACAGCTTTCTGCTACTGGGGAAGCCTCAGGAAACTTCAACCATGGCCAAAGGCAAAGGGGGAGTGAGCACTTCCCATGATCGGAGCAGGAGCAAGAGAGTGAGGGAGGAGGTGCTACACATTTTTAAATGACCAGAACTCATGAGAACTCACTCACTACCACAGGGACAGTACCAGCGGGGATGGTGCCAAGCCATTCATGAGAAATCCACCCCATGATCCAATCACCTCCCTCCAGGCCCCACCTTCAACATTGGGGATTACATTTCCATATGAGATTTGGGCAGGGACACACATCCAAACCATATCATGACACCACTGATACCAGGTTGTAAAAGATTGCAGGGCTTGGTGTGGTGGCTCATACCTATAATCCCAACACTGGGAGGCCAAAGCAGGTGGAGTTTGAAACCAGCCTGGGCAACATGGCAAAACCCTGTCTCTACAAAAGTAAAAAAGAAAAAGAATTTTTTTTTTTTTTTAAAGAGTGCAGCTTCCATCTTGGGCAGGTCACCTCTCCCTTCAGAAGCCTTCTCTCTGGGGAAGACAAGCTGCCATATCATGGGCAGTCCTCTGGTGGGGCAGGGAACTGAAGCCTCTTGCCAACAGCCATGCGAGTAAGCATGGAAGTTCACAGCCAATACCTTGACTACGATCTCATGAAGGATCCTGAGCCAGAGCCACTCCAGGTAAGCCACTCCTGTCTTCCTAACCCTCAGAAACTATATGAGGCCGGGCGTGGTGTCTCATGCCTGTAATCCCAGCACTTTGGGATGCTGAGGTGGGTGGATCACTTGAGGTCAGGAGTTCCAGACCAGCCTGGGCAATATGGTGAAACCCCATCTCTACTAAAAATACAAAACAGCTGGGCATGGTGGTGCACACCTATTTAGTCCCAGCTGCTTGGAAGACTGAGGTATAAGAATCGCTTGAACCTGGGAGGTGGAGGCTGCAGTGAGCCAAGATCATGCCACTGCACTACAGCCTGAGCAACAGAGCAAGATCCTGTCTCAAAAAAAAAAAAAAAAAAACTATGAGAGAGAATAAATGCTTATTGTTCTCAGCTGTTAAGTTTTGGGATCATTTGTTATGTAGCAATAACTAATACAGACATCATAGCCAAACCCATCCCCTGACATGTCATATCAACTCTTCTGCTTTATGTTTTTCTTCTTGACATTGATTAGTACCTAACACACTATATATTTATTTATTTATTTTTATTTATTATTATTTTTTGAGGTAGAATCTCACTCTTGTTGCCCAGGCTGGAGTGCAGTGGCGATCTCAGCTCACTGCAACCTCCACCTCCCAGGTTCAAGCGATTCTCTTGCCTCAGCCTCCTGAGTAGCTGGGATTACAGGTGCGCACCACCACGCCCAGCTAATTTTTGTATTTTTAGTAGAGATGGGGTTTCACCATGTTGGTCAGGCTGGTCATGAGCTCCTGACTTCATGATCTGCCCACCTCGGCCTCCCAAAGTGTTGGGATTACAGGCGTGAGCCACCGGCCCAGCCTATTTCATTTATTTATCTTGTTTTTGTTTATCTCCCCAACTAGGATGTAAATTCCTGGAGGGCAGGAATTTGTGTCTGTTCTTTTTTTTGAGACAGAGTCCTGCTCTTTTGCCAGGCTGGCGCAGTCTCAGCTCACTGCAACCTCCACCTCCCGGGTTCAAGTGATTCTCCTGCCTCAGCCTCCCAAGTAGCTGGGACTACAGGCGTGCGCCACCACACCCAGCTAATTTTTGTATTTTCAGTAGAGACGGGGTTTCACCATGTTGGCCAGGATGGTCTCAATCTCTTGACCTTGTGATCCACCCGCCTCGGCCTCCCAAAGTGCTGGGATTACAGGCGTGAGCCACTGCACCTGGCCTTATGTCGGTTTTTTTCACTGCCATATCTCCATCACTCAGAACAGAGTCTAGCATATAGGAGGCACTCAACAAATATTGGTCAAATGAATACATAAATGAATGAATACTTACAGTTCTCCAAGATTTTTATTCCATAACCCCTGCAGTCAGTTTTGCTATAGCACAACATCTATGCTCCTAAAATCACCCTGTTATGCAAAAACCATGCCAAGAACAACTATAGGGCTGTCTGGTCTCACGCCTGTAATCCCAACACTGTGGGAGGCCGAGGTGGGTGGACCACAAGGTCAGGAGTTGGAGACCATCCTGGCCAACATGGTGAAACCCCGTCTCTACTAAAAATACAAAAATTAGCCAGGGGTGGTGGCATGCTCCTGTAATCCCAGCTACTTAGGAGGCTGAGGCAGGAGAATTGCTTGAACCCCAGAGGCAGAGGTTGCAGTGAGCCGAGATTGTGCCACTGCACTCCAGCCTGGCAACAGAGCAAGACTCCATCTCACAAAACAAAACAACAACAACAAAAACAAAACTATAGGGCTAATGGGAAAAATAGTTAGAGGTTACAACATTGAGAAGTTTTGTCAATATAACAACAAAAAAGATAGGAATCTAATAAAGTTGTAGCACAGTTCACACATTAAATGGTTAAGAAATAGATACATGCTGCAATAAATATGGCAGAGTATCCTGAAACAGACATTAATTTTGTATATGGAGCTGGTCGTTGGAAGGGGTGCAGCTTATGAGTTCCTATGAAGTGGTGGAAAGAGGGTTTCTAACACACCCTGTAAACTCAGGTGGTAGGAATTTGAGAGGTGTCCTTGTGTACATTTTGTGTACTTCTGCCCTGTTTGGTTCAGCTCAGTAGAGTTTTCTCCATTCATCTGGTGTTTCTCAGGGAAAAACCATGCACCAGCAAATGCAAAATCTGTATTACACTTAGATTGCTCCCTAATATATGAATTGGGTTGGAACAAATTCATGTTTTCAAAACAAGACTTAGAGCAGAACTGACTGTCTTTGTTTATACTATTTTCCAGGGCTATAATAGTCTTCTTTATCCTTCTTGCCTGGCCAATTCCACCTTTACTTCAAGGCCCCTTTTCCATTGTCTCCTTTATGGCGTACATAGACTTTATCTTCTCTGAACATTCATATGCTTCCTTCTCACTTAAAAAAAAATAGATTTTATTTTTTTAGAGCAGTTTTACATTCACAGCAAAATTCAGAAGAAGGTATAGACAGTTCCCAGAAGCCCCCTGCCTCCACACATCACAGCCTCCCCCATTATTAACATCCCATACCAGAATGGTACATTTGCTACAATTTTGAGCCTGTATCAACACATTATTATCGCCCAAAGACTGTAGTTAACATTAGAGTTCACTCTTGGTATTGTAGATTCTATGGGTTTGGACAAACGTATAGTTATATGTATCCACCATTATGGTGTCATGCAGAATTGTTTCACCACCTCAAAGATCCTCTGTGTTCTGCCTATTCACCCCCTCCATAGTTTTGCCTTTTCCAGAATGTCATATTGTTGGAAACATAGAGTATGTAGCCTTTTATGATTGGCTTTTTTTTTTTTAACTTAGCAATATGCATTCAACTTTCCTTCATGTTTTCTTTTTATTTAGTAATATGCATTTAAGTTTTCCTTTTCTTTTTTTTTTTCTTTTTTGAGACAGAGTCTCGCTCTGTTGCCCAGGCTGGAGTACAGTGGTGCGATCTTGGCTCACTGCAAGCTCCGCCTCCCGGGTTCATGCCATTCTCCTGCCTCAGCCTCCCAAGTAAGCTGGGACCACAGGCGCCCACCACCATGCCTGGCTAATTTTTTGTATTTTTAGTAGAGACGGGGTTTCACCATGTTAGCCAGGATGGTCTCGATCTCCTGACCTCGTGATCCGCCTGCCTTGGCCTCCCAAAGTGCTGGTGTTACAGGCATGAGCCACCGCGCCCAGCCTTAAGTTTTCCTTTTCATGGCTTGATAGTTCATATCCTTTTAGTGCTAAATAATATTCCATTGTTTGGCTGTACCACAGTTTATTGAACCATTTACCTACTGAAGGAGATCTTGGTTGCTTTCAAGTTTTGACAATTATGAAAAAAGCTGCTATAAATATCCATGTGCAGGTTTCTGTATGGTCATCGATTTTCAACTCCTTTGTATTAATTCAAAGGAGTGCAGTTTCTGGATCATCTGGGAAGAATGTGCTTAGTTTTGTAAGAAATTGCCAAACTGTCTTCCAAAGAGGCCATACAATTTCCCATTCTCACCAGCAGTAAATGAGGATTGCTCCACATCCTCATCAGCATTTGGTGATGTAACTGGATTTTGACCATTTTAATAGGTATGTAATGGAATTCTCACTTCTATTTTATTGCCATCTTGAGTTACTAAGTTGACATCACATAATATTAGTTCACATTACACCTATGTCTATCTCTCCAACTAGCTCTAAACTACTTCCAATTATTGTATCCTTTGCTCATCTTCCAGTCCTCATCTTAGGACTGTGTCTTGCATACAATGGCTGTTGAAAATTATTTTTTAAATTGGTTTTGTTCCTGAGGCAGGACTAGATAAGGCCTCTTTCATCACATAGCTCAATGCCTAATGAAAGCCGCAGGATTGCTCGTGGAGAAAAGTCAGACCAGGAATGGGTACAGGAAAGAAAAACTTGAGAGTAAAGATATATATGGCAAAGATAATAGTAAGCAATGAGTCCCAAGAATAGGGCAGTGTTCAATGATCATGTCTTGGCCAGTTTAATCAGGGAATTAATTCTAGAATGCCTGAGTTTTAAACAGAATTTTAAAGTAAAGGACAGTTTTGACTCAAAATTTAAAACTTCTTACCTAGAAGAATAGCCCTTGGTATTGAATACCTAGTCCACCATCATACCCTAAATTAGTACCTCCTAAAAGTGAAGGTAGGCTAACATTACATTTCTCCTGCAAAGGTATCAGGCAGAGCCACTACATAGGCAATGAGCCATCTAGACAGTATGGTCTGGGACTGGTGGAAGGGAGTGGGGATGACTTTTGTGCCTCACTGATGGAGCATCAATTTGAGAAGTGGAAATGAACTGGGCCCCATCACTGCTCATTCCAGGCAGTATCATTCAGATGCCAGTCTCTGTGAACCCCCTGTATACCAACTGGAAATGAACCTTTACAGGGGAGGCTGACAACACACCTGATTCCAGCTGTGCGTTGGGTGAGGGGAGGATATGTGGTCAGGGGATGAGGTATTAGTCTTTTTTCACACTGCTACAGAGAATTGCCCGAGAGTGGCTAATTCATAAAGAAAGGAGATTAAATTGACTCACTGTTCTGCAGGCTGTACAGGAAGCATGGCAGCATCTTTTTCTGGGGAGGCCTGAGGGAGCTTTTATTCAAGGCAGAAGGCGAGGCTGCAGCAGGCATCTTCACATGGCTGGAAGCAGGCTCCTTCACAGGAGGAAGAGAGAGAAATCCAGGTCTCATGAGAACTCTGTCCCAAGAACAGGACCAAAAAGGGAGGGTGCTAACCCATTCAGGAAGGATCCACCCCCATGATCCAATCATCTCCCACCAGGCCCCACCTTCAACACTGGGGATTACAACTGAACATGAGATTTGGGTGGGGACACAGATCCAAACGATATCAAAAGGGTAGGAGGGTGCAACGATGCTATAACTAGCTCTAGAGGTCTAATTAGAGTCCGTGACAAAACAAAAACATACTGTATTATTAATTCTAAAATCAGAGCTCAAGCCTATGGTTACTTTACATGCGCTTTGCACATTCACCAGCACAAACTGGAATCCCTTCTCTACCTTCCACAACTCAAAAGGCTTTTTCTCTCTTGGTCACCCTCTCCTCATCTCCTACCATGATCTGAATGTTTGTGTTCCCTCAAACTTCATTACTTCTTTTTTTTTTTTTCTTTTTTTGGAGATGGCGTCTTGTTATGTTGCCCAGGCTGGAGTGCAGTGTCCATTCACAGGCAGGATCATTGTGCACTGTAGCCTCAAACAATCCTCCCACCTCAGCCTCTCGAGTGGCTGGGATTATAGGTGTGTTCCACTGTACCCAGCCACTGTTGAAATCTTAGCCCCCAAGTTTATCCTATTAGGAGGTGGGGCCTTTGGGAGGTGATTAGGTCATGAGGGTGGAGCCCTCATGAATGGAATTAGTGCCTTTATAAAAGAAGCCTCAAAAAAGGTCCGTCGCCCCACTCTGCTATGTGAGGTTATAGCAAAAAAACAGCTGTCTATGAACCAGGAAGCGGTGCCTCACCAGACACTGCATCTGCCAGAAACTTGATCTTGGACTTCCCAGCCTTCAGAATTGTGAGAAATAAATTTTTGTTGTTTATAAGCTGCCTAGTCCATGATATTTTGGTATAGCAGCCTGAATGGACTAAGCCTTAATGAGCCCAGAGGCCTTGGGATTTCCCTCACATTCTCTGAGTAAGCACCCACCTCCCCATCCTACACCACCTCTGCAGTAATTTAATTTCCCCTGTGTTGAACTTCCACAGGAACTCTGAGCCATTGTGCGGCACTGGCTGCCTCGATTTCACAGGATTTTTTTTTTTTTTTTTGATACACAGTTTTGCTCTTGTTGCCCAGGCTGGAGTGCAGTGGCGCAATCTCGGCTCACCGCAACCTCCGCCTCCTGGGTTCAAGCGATTCTCCTGCCTCAGCCTCCTGAGTAGTTGGGATTACAGGCATGCGCCACCATGCCCAGCTAATTTTGTATTTTTTGTAGAGATGAGGTTTCTCCATGTTGGTCAGGCTGGTCTCGAACTCCCGACCTCAGGTGATCCGCCCGCCTCAGCCTCCCAAAGTGCTGAGATTACAAGCATGAGCCACCGCGACTGGCCCACAGGATTGTTTTCACTCTGGAAGATGGTGCCCTCCTCTGTGCTCGCACTGTGCATGCATCAGCCAAGGGACCTTCCCATGCATCAGAGGCAGCTGGTCTGGGATGCTCAGGCCATGTCAGAAAACACATATGAACATGCTGAAGGGGTGATAGAGCACACAAGGCTCTTGTTATCTCAGGCCTGTCCAAAGGCTGTCTTATGTGGATAAGGAGAGCTAAGAGCACAGGGGCTGCTGTCGCTGCTGCTGATTACTGAATTTTTTTTAAAGCCTCTATCCTTGTCCTCTGTTGTTCAGAATGAATTATAAATATGCACAATGGTGGTTTAATCCAAACCTTAATATCTTTTTCCTTCTCTGCCCTCCCTTGATGTGGGGAGTGGGGGTGGGAGGAGTCAGGAGGAAACTTCTGAAAAGCTGATTTTCCAGTTTGGCTAGAAAATAGATTACCAGCCCCAACCACTCTCCTCTCCTCCCAAAACATGACTGTCCATAGATCAGAAATTACCACTGCTATTTATTTTATTGGAGGGAATTGACTGGTTTGATAGAGAAAGACAGTCAAATAAACACTCTGCAATGTTTCATAAATCTGTTTGGATTGGTTGAGTATATAGTAGTCATGATGGTCTTTACAGGCCCTGATACAATTTAACACATTAGGTTTCAAACAACCACGTGAATGATGCTTGTTATAAGTGAGCACCAATAGAGGTGTTTTGTTTTCTGCTAATCTATGGGAGAAAAAAATTTTAATTTCTAATTGTAAAAATTTGATTCTATTCATTGGTAAGTTCCTGCCCCCCACCTCCGAAAGTGGGGAAAATACCACCATTATCGGAACAATAGCAGCAAAATCTAAGAAAAGAGTTTTGATTTGGGATAATTGTAATGGTCTTGGGTACCTATCCCTGCCTGGGAATTGCTTTGTGTGGGGCACACAGCAGCTCCACATGGCTCACTCTGCTGTTGTCTTGGTTTGTGCCAAGGACATCAAAGGAAAAGAGGAAATATTACCACCTCTACTTTGGAAGAATAATGAGATTCTGTGTGTACTCTACTGTGAGGCCCTTCAGAGCCCTCAGTCCACCCTGTGCAAGCCTGCTTCAGGCTTAGTAGCCTCTCCTTCTTTCCATCATTATGGAGTATATCAGTCGGCTAGGGCTGCCATAACAAAATACCACAGACTGGGTGGCTTCATCAACAGATATTTAATTGCTCGAAGTTCTGAAGGCTGGGAGTCCCAGACCAAGTTCTTGCAGGATCGGTTTCTGGTGAGGGCTCTTTCAGGCTTACAGATGGCCACCTTCTCACTATGTCCTCACATGGCAGGGAGAGAAAGAGTGAGCTCTCTGGTGCCTCTTCTTACAAGGATCCTAATCCTATCAGGGCTCCACCCTTATGACCTCATTTAATCTTGATTATTTCCTTACTCCAAATGCAGTCACACTGAAGGTTAGGATTCCAACATTTGCAATTCAGTCTATAGCATTCTGCCCCTGACCCCCACAAAAAAATTCATGTTCTTATTGCATGTAGAATATATTTATTCCATCCCAACAGCCTCAAAAAATCTTTTTAAAAATTTTTAAATTTATTTTTAAATTTTATTATACTTACATCTTCTTGGACACCAATTTTTAATTTTGATTAAAAAAAATATTTTTTGGCTGGGCACAGTGGCTCATACCTGTAATCTCAGCACTTTGGGAGGCCGAGGCAGGCAGATCATGAGGTCAAGAGATTGAGACCATCTGGCCAACATGGTAAAACCCTGTTTCTACTAAAAATACAAAAATGAGCTTGGTGTGGTGGTGCGTGCCTGTAGTCCCAGCTGCTGGGGAGGCTGAGGCAGGAGAATCGCTTGAACCTGGGAGGTGGAGGTTGCAATGAGCCGAGATCACACCATTGCACTCCAGCCTGGCAACAGAGCAAGACTCCGTCTCAAAAAACAAAAACAAATAAAAAAACAACAAAAAATTTTTTTTCGAGATGGAGTCTTGCCCTCTCACCCAGGCTGGGGTGCAGTGGCAAGATCTTGGCTCACTGCAACCTTCGCCTCCCAGGTTCAAGTGATTCTCATGTCTCAGCCTCCCAAGTAGCTGGTATTACAGACGCCCACCACCACACCTGACTAACTTTTGTATTTTTAGTAGAGACAGGGTTTTACCATGTTGGCCAGGCTGGTCTCAAACTCCTGACCTCAAGTGATCCACCCGCCTTGGCCTCCCAGAGTGTTGGGATTACAGGCGTGAGCCACTGCACCTGGCTTGTATACCAATTAAAAATTTTTTTAAAAAATTTATTATATTTACATCTTCTTTTTTAAACTTTTGTTATATTTACATCTTCCCTAAACTCTTAACACATTCCAGCATCAATTCTAAAGTCCATAGTCTCATCTAAATATCATCTAAATCAGATATGGGTGAGACTTGCAGTACATTCATCCTCAGGCAAAATTCTTCTCCAGCTGTGAGCCTGTGAAACCAGACAAGTTACATACTTCCAAATACAATGGTGGACAGCCATAGGATAGACATTCCCATTCCAAAAGGGAGAAACTGGAGGGAAGAAAGGGATGATGATCCCAAGCAAGTCCAAAATCTAGCAAGTCAAATTCTACTAAATTTTAAGCCTGAAGAATAATGCTCTTTGGCTCAATGCTCCGCCTTTCAGACCCACTGGGGAGTCTGTCCCACATTTAGGACCTACTAGGGAAGCAGTCTCGCCTCCACAGCTCTGCACCCACAGGGATTTACACCCTCAGGGCTCCACAGTGTGGCCCCACCCACAAGGCTTCAGTCAGTGGCTGTCTGGCCACTTGAAACTGAGGCAATCACCCCCCCACTTTGAAACCAAGGAGGCAGCCCTGATGGTATCTGAATCACCTTTGAGGTCATTCTTCACTTTACTTGCAGAATAAGGATCTAAGAAGTCCAATAGCCTTCTTTCATTTCATCTTGTTTTCTCTTTCCACTTTATTTGGTTCAAACTGTCAGTGTCTTTGCTGGTATAATTCCATCTCTATTCCTGGCTTTTGCTAAGATGGTTGATGAAGTTTATGAGTCTTACTCATGACCTCTTTATCAAATAGTTTTAGTTTCAGTTTTCTTTTCAGAATAAGCTTTTTCTTTTTTCTTTCTTGTTTTTTTTTTTTTCAGTATGGATAGACTTTCCCAAATCCTCTATTTCTGGTTCCTTTATGCTTAACAATTCCTTCTTCAACTAATTTCTCTCCTTTCCCATTTTGCTGTAAGCAGTCAGGAGGAACAAAGTTGCTCCTTCAATACTCTGCTTAGAAATCTCCTTGGCTAAATATCCAGTTATATTGCTCACAAGTTCTACTTTTCACAAAACCCTCTTTAACCAAGTTCTTCACCACTCTATTTATTTATTTGTTTTTGATACAGAGTCTTTCTCTGTCACTCATGCTGGAGTGCAGTGGTATCATCTTGGCTCACTGCAACCTCTGCCTTCTGGGTTCAAGCAATTCTCATGCCTCAGCCTTCCAAGTAGCTGGGACTACAGGTGTGTGCTACCTCACTCCACTAATTTTTGTATTTTTAGTAGAGATGGACAAGGTTTCACCATGTTGGCCAGTTTGGTCCCAAATTCCTGGCCTCAAGTGATCTGCCCACCTCAGCCTCCCAAAGTGCTGGGATTACAGGCGTGAGCCACCACACCCAGTCTTCTTCACCATTTTATAACAGGTTTCCTTTGCTCCAGTTTCCAGTAACATGATCCTCATTTCTGTCTGACATTTCACCAGAATTACCCTTAACATCTATGTTTCTAGTGTGCACTTCAAAAATCTTGCAGCTTCTACCCATTACCCAGTTCCAAAGCCACTTCTACATGTTTAGATATTTGTTACAGCACTACCTCATGTCTCACTACCAAAAAAATGTATCAGCCAGAGTTCTCCAGGGAAACAGTACAAACAGTGTGTGTGTGTGTGTGTGTGTGTGTGTGTGTGTCTGTGATGTGAGAGAGAAACAGGGCAAGAAAGAGGTATTAGGGGAATTGGTTCATGTGATTATCGAGGCTAAGAATTTGCAAAATCTGCAGTCAGCAATCTAGAGACCTAAGACAGCAATGGTGTAGTTCTAGTCCAAGTCTGAAGGCCTGAGAACCAGACAGCAAGTGGTGTAAATTCAAGTCCAAAAGTCAAGATTGAGACCCACAAAGAGCTTATGTTTCCATTAGAGTCCAAAGGCAGAAGACCAATATCCTAGCTCAAGCAGTCAGACAGACAAAATTCCCTTTTACTGAGCATTTTTGTTCTATTCAGGCTTTTGACTGAATAAGGCCTACCCATATTAGGGAAGAGAATCTGCTTCACTCAGTCTTCTGATTCATATGTTTATCTCATCCAGAAATGCTTCCACAGGCATGCCCAGAATAATGTTTGACCAAATGTCTGGGCACCTCATGTCCCAGTCAAGTTGACACATAAAATGAACTATCATAGTAATCATTCAAGAGAGGTAATAATAGATTATTTAGACCTTTTCCTCAACAGTCTTTGATTGAGTATATACTAAGTGCAAAGTCCCATTCCCAAGGCTGTTTCATGCAAATTTAATTCTGTTCCATATGATTTTATTCCAACCATGGAACTGACTGTTACCACAGATAGTAAGCTCATGTCCACCGAGGTCTTTCTGTAGTTGCCAGCTGGATGGCCTAGTCTGGCTCATGGTTTCTAAGATTCTAGGTGATGGATGGTGATAATGTTATAAAACAGGTAGTAGTTTGGGGAAGGCAGGGAGGCAGTAGCTGTACTAGACCAGTTGTCTGTGTCTTCAGGAGCATATGGATTACCTGGGGAGCTTGTTAAAATGCAGATGCTGATTCAGGAAGTCTGAGATTCTGCATTTCTATCAAGTTCTCAGGTGATGCTGATGCTGCTGAGCCAGAGACAACATTTTGAGTAGTAAGGTATTAGATGAGCTTTAAGGTCCCTTCTGATTCTCTAAATTCAGTCCAATTCAGCAAGTGTTCATTAAGAACTCATTGTGTACCATGATGCCATGAAGTAGCCAATAGAGGTATGAAAGTGTTTTCTGCCTTCAAAAAGCGAACTTATATTTAGAAAGCTGGACAAATATCCAGCCTGGCCAACATGGTGAAACCCCGTCTCTACTAAAAATACAAAAATTAGCTGGGCATGGTGGCAGGTGCCTGTAATCCCAGCTACTCGGGAGGCTGAGGTGGGATAATCACTTGAAATTGGGAGGCAGAGGTTGCAGCGAGTTGAGATCATGCCATTGCACTCCAGCCTGGGCAACAAGAATGAGACTCCATCTCGAAAAAAAAAAAACAAAAAAACAAACAAACAAAAAAAACACTGGACAAATAGCCACAAGTCCCACAGATTACACAATGACTCAACCTTCTGGGTCAACCTGAGTGTCTAGACTCAGGACAGCATTGTGCTTGAAAATTTTTTTTTTTGAGACGGAGTCTCACTCTGTCGCCAGGCTGGAGTGCAGTGGTGTGATCTTGGCTCACTGCAACTTCTGCCTCCCAGGTTAAAGTGATTCTCCTTCCTCAGCCTCCTGAGTAGCTGGGACTACAGGTGCATGCCACCATGCCCAGCTAATTTTTGTATTTTTATTTATTTATTTATTTATTTTGAGACGGAGTCTGGCTCTGTCATCCAGGCTGGAGTGCAATGGCATGATCTCGGCTTACTGCAACTTCCGCCTCCCAGGTTCAAGCGATTCTCCTGCCTCAGCCTCCCCAGTAGTTGGGACTACAGGTGCATGCCACCACGCCCAGCTAATTTTTGTGTTTTTAGTAGAGAAGGGGTTTCATCATGTTGGCCAGGATGGTTTGGATCTCTTGACCTCGTGATCTGGCCGCCTCAGCCACCCAAAGTGCTGGGATTACAGGCATGAACCACCATGCCCGGCCTAATTTTTGTTATTTTTAGTAGAGATGAGGTTTCACCATGTTGGCCAGGATGGTCTTGATCTCTTGACCTCGTGATCCGCCTGCCTCAGCCTCCCAAAGTGCTGGGATTACAGGTGTGAGCCACAGCACCTGGCCAAAATTTTTATATAAATGCCTTCCCAAGAAATTTGGTCTCTTTTTTTTTGAGGAAGTCAGAGAACTGAAATTTAGTAGTTTAGCCACCTAGCAAAATAACCTGAATAGAATAGTAATATGGAGAAGAAGACCAGCTAGACGAAAAACTGTAAAGTTTATCTAAGCCCACGGGGGCAGCCATAGTGGGCTAAGATACTGAGAAAACTAAGAGTACACCAGCCGTATGCACAAGGGGGCCCTGGGAAAGGACACCTCTGACTCAATGTTCTAGGGTCAGAGTTCCTCTAGGGAGGAACACAGGGGAGATACTTGGTGGGGAATAGCAGCACTGTGGATGAAGATCATGGACACCCCTGTGGGAGTGGCCATCAGGCCTAAGGAAGGGCCAGTGCATACCAGTCTTTTCCCAAGCTAGGACTAGTTTCCCCGATCTCTTAGGTTCATCTGGCAGTGGCGGAGGTGGGGAGGGAAGTTGGGAGCTAGTCAAGGGGCTGGTAAAACTACAAACAAGAATGGGAGAAAGCAGTGGCTATGGGGGTAGAGTGGGGAACACTTGTGGGCACAAAGGAGGAAGGGGTGGAATGACAGGGTGGACCCCTTATGGCCTTGGCTATTATGTATGTGAATAGCCAAGCAACAGGCAAAACCTTTGCTAAGCAGGGCTTTTTATAGTCACTCACTCAGGCTGGTCTTGTGATTTGGGGCAAGGGCAGAATCCACTGCCCTGATGATCCTCCTCGCACACCTCAGTTCTCAGCCCCACTGGCCCAGCCCTAATCTCCACTCTACTAGCTTCCCTCCATGGAGGCCCTGATAAGATTGAGGGCAACTGGAAGCCCAGATAGAGACCCTCCCCACTTGGTCTCTTCCCAACACACACACACACACACACACACACACACACACACACACACACACACCCCTAACCAGGCCAGAGACTTGAGCTCAGACTGCCTGGAGCTGGTGGGGGCTGGAAAAAGGGGAGGGGGGAGGGAAGGAAGAGAAGAATCAAACAGAAACCTTCTCATCTTTCTATCAGCAGCCATGCAAGGAATATTGTTCAGCATGGCACAAAAGCGGCACTGAAAATAGCTGCAGCCAGAGTGGGGCTGCCAACCACTGCCTGAGATAACGTCTACTTGGAGACACTGGTGTCTTTGTGGGGCTGTCAGTGTCCCTATTGTTCCCGAGCCTATTGCCTGGGGAATATTGTTCCCAGCTTTTGTCTCCCCCGGCTCACTTTTGTTTGCCTTTACTTACCATTTCATTCCCGCTCCCTTTGTGCTCTCCCATTCCCTCCTTTGTCTCTCCGTCTCTAAGCCTGCCTGTGGCTGTGGATTGGTGCCCAGGGAGACAATAGGCCCTACCCCCTCCCAACCTACAGCCCCACCCCGAACCACACACACCTCATAGTTCCATCCTGCTTCTCCTTCTCCCAAGTGGCACCCAAGATGTCCCAAAGGCAAGAGAGCCTTGAGGGAGGGTGGGCTTCAAGCAACCCACTCCCCTCCTGGTGACAAGGCAGAAAGGCCATTGGAATATTTGGTTCCCAGAGGAGGTCTGAAATGTCTGATGTGGGTCCCTGACTCTTTCAAGATCTCTCTATTTTTTTTTTTTTTTAACAAATTAGGTTTTTGGTCCAGTCAAAGGAATAAGGACAAGCTCATGCTCCACATCCCCCAAACCCTCTTTCAAGTGCCCAGCATGCACTTCTCTGACCAGGGCACTCCGTTTTCTTCCCCCTCCCTGTCAGCCTCAAGGATCAAAGCAACCTCTGTTTATTTGCACATTCAAATCCAGACTGCCTCCAGTAACTTGACCCAGTCAGGCGCCAGGATGGTGCAAGAAAAGCCCCGCCTGCACCCTCCCCATCCAGCAGCGCTTTTGGCTGAACTGGGTAGAAAGGGGACAGGAGTCTCCTAGGGTCAGAGTAGGGAGTGGAAGAGGAGTAGGCAGTGAGGAAAATTAGACTGCCAATCCCTTCAGAATGGCCTCTGGGTCCTCTCACCTCAATGATGGGGGGAAACTGAGGCATCAAAAGAGATTTAGAGGCTGGCACGGTGGCTCACGCCTGTAATCCCAGCACTTTGGGAGACCAAGACAGGCGGATCACTTGAGGTCCAGAGTTCGAGACCAGCCTGGCCAACATGATGAAACCCCATCTCTACTAAAAATACAAAAATTAGCCCAGCATGGTGGTGGGTGCTTGTAATCTCAGCTACTTAGGAGGCTGAGGTGGGAGAATCGCTTGAACCCGGGAGACGGAGGTTGCAGCAGTGAGCTGAGATGGCGCCACTGCACTCCAGCCTGGGCGACAGAGCAAGACTATGTCTCAGAAAAAAAAAGAAAAGAAAGAGAGAGAGAGAGATTTAGAAAACACAGCAGTCAAACCCGGAGCTTGCTTGCCAACCCAGAGCATAGGCAGGTGTCCAATCCCAGTCCTGTAGAGAGATTCTTCTCAGTTCTAGCTGGGAGAAGAAAGGCACCAGGTAGTGCTTAAGGGGCTGGGTTGACTTGTAGAAAATGCTTTTTCTTATACTTCCCCTGTCTTTCTGCCTCACTACAGATGGGAACAGCGATTGGAGAGTCGAGGAAGCTTTTACTTTGGTGGGAGGCTGGCTGGGAGCAGGGATGTAGTCTGAAGCCAGAGAGGAGGCTCTACTCTCTCATTGTTCTAATTCCAAGGACAATGGGAATATTCTCCAGAGAGTCATTGTTTGAAAAGCTGGAAATTGGGTAGGGGATTTCCGGAAAGTTTGAATGGAAGCCAGGCTTGGCTGTGAGGAGACCAGAGGAGCAAGAAGGGAAAAAGGAAGGGAAGGAGGCCGTCTCTGGCTTCAGAGAAAAGTACTACTGGGCCCTGAGGACAAATCTGCCCTCCTGATTTCATGGCTATCAATCCCAGGCTACCCATTTTTTGTTCTGATTCTTGCTCCACCCGTCTCCTCTATCTGCCTTCTCTAGCCAAGATCAGTTTAGATTCTTAATACTCTTCAAGTAGAAAGAGAAGCAAAAAACTTTGTCCCTGCCTTGGAAGCAAGAATTGAGTCTGATCCACCTTTGCAACTCTAGCCCATAGCGCAGAGCCCAGAGCATATGCAGAGCTTCGTAAATGTGCAAAGAATGGATTCATGAAGACATTGTGGACTCTTGATCTCAGAAAGCCACTTTGACTATCCCTGAACTTCTGGTAGGGTGGGTATGGAACTGAAGGTTTGAGGTGAGAAAAATCTAAAGGTGAGGGATAAGATTCTGGGATAGATGAGGCAAGTGGTGCGGAACGTGGGGTGCAATTAACAGACAGCAATGACACAGCAATGCAGAACAATATTTGGCCTCTAGAACAAAATCCCCTGCCTCAATCCTCTGTACTCTTCCCACTCACCGTATGTAGTCTGAGCTGTCTTTCAAAGATATAGAGGTGATCACTTTTTGGCTCTGTGTAAAACCACTGGTGGCTTCCCGCTGCCTTCAGTTACTTGTAAGGCACTAAAATGGAACTCTTCAAGGACAGGGCAATCTTGATTGTTCCTGTATTCACCACAGGTAACTGGTGCCTGGCCAGCGCTATAGGCACCCAGTAAAGGTGGAATTGAACTAACTGAGAAGAGTGTGAGTCAATGTTGCCAATTCTACAGTGGTTCCTGGATGGCATTTCAAGTTAGCTACCTTCAATGATTTTGATGGTGAGTGTTTTATCCATTTTACAGTTATTGATATGATCTTTGAAAACAGCCAAGGGCCATGAAAATAAAAACATTTACATTTCTTTTTAAAATTGGTACAGCACTTGGGAGGCCAAAGGTGGGAGGATCACTTGAGGCCAGAAGTTCAAGACCAGCCAGGGCAACATAGCAAGACCTTACCTCTACAAAACACTTAAAAATTAGCCAGGCATGGTGGCATGCACCTGTAATCCCAGCTACACAGGAAGCTGAGGTGGAAGGACTGCTTGAGCCCAGGGGTTCCAAGTTGCAGTGAGCCATTATTAATTTTTTTTTTTTTTGAGACAGAGTCTCGCACTGTCACCCTGGCTGGAGTGCAGTGGCACAATCTCGGCTCACTGCAACCTCCGCCTCCCAGGTTCAAGCGATTCTCCTGCCTCAGCCTCTTGAGTAGCTAGGATTAAAGGTGCCCGCCACCACGCCTGGCTAATTTTTTTGTATTTTTAGTAGACATGGGATTTCACTATGTTAGCCAGGCTGTTCTCGAACTCCTGACCTTGTGATCCGCCCGCCTCGGCCTCCCAAAGTGCTGAGATTACAGGCGTGAGCCACCACGCCCAGCCTTGCAGTGAGCCATGATCATGCCACTGCACTCTAGCCTAGGGAACAGAATAAGACTCCAACTCAAAAAAAAAAAAATTGAGTCATATCTCATCTAACTAGAATATGGCTGAGAACAAGGACGTAAGCTAATATAGGCTGCAGACTAATCAAAAGCAATGGCATAAAGAAATATATTCCATTTATGTGAGATAACAAAGTATCTCCCTTACAGCTAGAGATGGCCGAAGAAATATATGTGGAAGAGGTAGAGCATCTGGAAACTTTAAAAGGGGCTAACTCTGGTGGTAGGCATATCTTTTCACCCTTCTCACTTTCCTCTTTGTCCTGTCTGGAATGTAGTTATGATCAGCCAGGCATGGCGGCACGTGTAAGAGGATCACTGCTTGAGCCCAGGAGTTTGAGTCCAGCCTGGGCACGTAGCAAGACCTCATCTCTTAAAAAATAAAAAGAACCAGCAGGGCACATTGGCTCATGCCTGTAATCTCAGCACTTTGGGAGCCCAAGGCAGGTGGATCACAAGGTCAGGAGTTCGAGACCAGCCTGATCAACATGGTGAAACCCAGTCTCTACTAAAAATACAAAACTTAGCCAGGCTTGGTGGCATGCACCTGTAATCCCAGCTACTCAGGAGGCTGAGGCAGAAGAATTGCTTGAACCTGGGAGGCAGAGGTTGCAGTGAGCCGAGATCGCACCACTGCACTCCAGCCTGGGTGACAGAGCGAGACTTCATCCCAAAAAAATAAAAATAAAAATAAATACATAAATAAATAGAACCTGGTCATGATCACTGGATCTCCAGCAGCCATCTTGTGACCACAAAGGGCCACTGAGTTTGAAACTTTTGTGTTAAGGAAGGCCAAACAGAAAAACAGAAAGTGCTTGAGCCCAGATGACTGAGGAGCCCACAATACAAGCTTCAAATTGCATACCTCTGAAGTTTTTTATACAGGGCGAGAAAAGCTTTTATTAGATTAAGTCCTTTAATTTAGGCCTTTGTTATTAGAAGTCAAGTACAATGCCTCACTAATGAAGTACATGAGTTCTATCAATAAAGAAATACATTTCTATATCATCTCTTTGTTTGCTGAACTAGTTGGAAAAAGAAAAGGAATCATAAGAGATATTCCATTGTTTGCTAGAGCACGTGAGTAATCCTGTGGGTTTTGAAAGTGAAGTCACAAGCTGAGTTTGGAGGCAGGAGCTATAGACATAGAGACAGTACATCTGTTCTGTGCAGTGAAGCAGGAGGAATCATTCTGAGTAGCGTAGAGCCCAAGCAACAGGCAAAATATTGCTATAGATGTGTATATGGACATTGGAATCAAGTGGCAGCTTACAGCCAGAAAGAAGAGAAGGGGAAAAACTCTAAAAGAAGACACAAGTGGCCAGTCGTGGTGGCTCATGCCTGTAATACCAGCAATTTGGGAGGCCCGAGGCAGGTGGATTGCTTGAGGTCAGGAGTTCGAGAGCAGCCTGGCCAACATGGCGAAACCCCATCTCTACTAAAAATACAAAAATTAGCCAGGCTTGGTGGTGGGTGCCTGTTATCCCAGCTACTCGGGAGGCTGAGGCAGGAGAATCGCTTGAACCAGGGAGGAGGTTGCAGTGAGCCAAGATTACACCACTGCACTCCAGCCTGGGCAACAGAGCAAGACTGCCTCAAAAAAAAAAAAAAAAAAAAAAAGAAGAAGAAGACACAAGAACTAAAAAAAACACAGACATTCACCAATGTTAATGACACTTAAATCCAAATAGGTATATAAACTTTATCAGGGCCTGAGGGGCATGAGGTTTTTGCAACACTACACAAAAGTGGATGATTCAAAATAATGAGTATATGCCATCAAAGCAAGTCTGCTCCATTTAGTCATGCAGGAACCAAGTTCTGGGTCAAGACAGCAGGTGGAGCAAAGTTGAAACCTCCTCCTTCTCCAAACACATAAAATGAGAGAGGGAATAGGTTTAAAAACTCATAGCCACACTTGAAAACAAGAAAGGGAAATCTTAAAAGCTACTAAAGAGGGAAGACAGATTATTTACCAAGAAACAAGAATCAGATTGGGCTGGGTGAGGTGGTTCAGGCCTGTAATCCCAGCACTTTGAGAGGCTGAGGAGGGAGGATCACTTCAGCCCAGGAGTTCTGGGCAACATGGCGAGAGCCTGTCTCCACAAAAAAAAATTTTTTTTTTTTCCCATGGAGTTTCATTCTTGTTTCCCAGGCTGGAGTGCAATGGCTAGATCTCAGCTCACTGCAACCTCCGCCTTCCACGTTCAAGCAATTCTCCTGCCTCAGCCTCCCAAGTAGCTGGGATTACAAGCACCCACCATCATGCCTGGCTAATTTTTGTACTTTTAGTAGAGACAGGGTTTTGTCATGTTGGCTAGGCTGGTCTTGAAGTCCTGACCTAAGGTGATCCACCCGCCTCAGCCTCCCAAAGTGCTGGGATTACAGGTGTGAATAACCGTGCCCGGCTTACAAAAAATTTAAAAATTATCCAGATGTGGTGGTGTGTGCCTGTAGTCCCAGCTACTGTGGAGGCTGAGGTGGGAGGATCACTTGAACCCAGGAGATCGAGGCTTCCAGTGACCTGTGACTGTGCCACTGCACTCCAGCCTGGGCGACAGAGTGAGACCCTGTCTCAAAAAAAAAAAAAAATCGGATTGATTCCCGACTTTCTCATACATAAGCAGATGCCAAAAGGCAACGGAATAAAATCCTGAAAATGCTGAAATAAAATAATGTTAAATGTAAAAATCTATGCCCAGTAAGACGCACAAACTCTGAAATTTTACTAATCACAGACTCTCACTGAAAGAACTGTTTGAACAAAAAGAAAAGTGAATTCTGAAGGAGAAAATGTAGGAATCAAAATGCAACACATACACATCTGTAATTTTTTTTTTAGAGACAGAATCTTACTCTTGCTGCCCAGGCTGGAGTGTAGTGATGTGATTATATCTCATTACAGCCTCGAATTCTTGGGCTCAAGTGATCCTCCCACCTCAGCCTCCCAAGTAACTGGGATTACAGGTGTCCATCACCACATCTGGCTAATTATTTGATTTTTTGTAGAGACAGAGTCTCGCTATGTTGCCTAGGCTGGTCTTGAACTCCTGGGCTGAAGTGATCCTCCTGCCTCAGCCTCCCAAAGTGCTGTGATTACAAGCGTGAACCACCACACCCGGCCACATCTTTCATTTTAAAAACGAAATACATGGCTAGGTGGTGTCACAGTAACAAACAGCCTCCACACACCCCAAGGGCTTACATGCACACAGGTGTATTTACTGCTCTGGTCAACCCAGCTGCAGATTGGCCAGGGTTCTGCTCGACGTGTCTTCTTTATTCTGGGATTTAAGTGGAAGCAAACGCTTCTACTACAAAGACGCTGTTTTCACAGCAGAGGGAAATGAAAGGTGGCAGAACCAAAGCATCAGCTAGGAAGTAGCACAGAGCCCACAAAACTAAGTCAGATGGCCACACCCGCCATAAATGGGGTGTGTCCTGCAAGTCACGTGGCAATGAGGGGGGTGCATAAGATTCTCTCAGGAAAGGGCATAATCTGAAAATAGTAATACAACAAGAAAAAAGACCGGCACAATGTGACTGCTAACAGCTGTTGATTCTCGGGTGGAAAAATATAGGTAATTATGTTTTGTATTTTCAAAGTTCTCAAAACAAAAAAGACACAGGAGAAAATTTAGATCCACTAGAACACAATTTTATCCTGCTTTTTGAGGTTTAATATTAACCTTGTGAGCATTTGCTCATATCATTAATAGTCTTTTCCATTTTTTTTTTATATGAGGCAGAGATCTAATATGGTTTAGAAAGACCAAAATGGATGAGATAATACAGCTTTGGGGCTTAACAGGATAAAATTATGCACAATTACAAGGAATTTGGGTATCTGATATTTTTTGTATGTAATTATGACTCTGAGTGCCATATAACTTTAAATAATTAAATAGAAAACTTCATTTTTAAAAATGAAAAGGTTCCAACTAATATTGAGCACATAAAAATAATGGACAGTGAGGGAATCGTGAAGAAATGGTGCTTACCAATGACTCAGGTATTTTTAGTTGTCAGAAAAAAATTGTGAAAGGCTGTGAAATGGATCAAAGAATTACTAAATGTCTTCAGTGAAAAACCATGCTTTACGTACAGCTCACCCTTCTAGGTTATCTGATTCTATGGGACTTGCACCTTTCATTGTCTCAAAGCTATTTTACAACACTGTAAGTTGTAAACAACTGATAGCAATGCAAATAATTCTGCTTTATACACATGAAAATGAATCTTGTCTAGTGGAGGGGCAATTGATTTTTCTCTCACCCATCCCCACAAAAAGCCAGTTTTGCATCTATTTATAAATGCATTTTTTGGCCTATTTATATGTGTGATCTTTGAATTCTCTCTTGAACTGGTTGAAACATTTTACTGATCCCTTCACTAATTAATGAGTTAAATAAAATCTTTGATATGCATTCACTTTATATTTGAGTTGTGGTTTTATATATAGAGAGAGACTATATATATTGATTACCCTTTAATACTGAATATTCTACGAAAGTTCATTTGAACACTCATTAGGAGTCAGCCTTTGAAGCTGTTTTTGCAAATATATAAAACAATCTTTTGAACTATTAACCATTGTCTTTCCCTTATGACTTTTTCCTTGACTTACACCCCATTTGACCCAAGGTTGTTCCATCAGATTCTCTCTCTTAGTAATGTGTCTTAGTAAGTGTGGGTTGCTATAACAAAATACAATAGACTTGATGGCTTAAACAAAAATGTATTTCTCACAGTTCTGGAGGCTGGAAGTCCACTATCACGGTGCCAGCCAACTTGGCTCCTGGAGAAGCCACTCTGCCTGGCTTGCAAGATGGTTGCTTTCTCCCTGTGGCCTTTCCTTGGTGGAGAGAAAGCTAGCTCTCTAGTCTCTTCTTATAAGGGCAGTAATCCCATCATGTAGGCCCCATTCTAGTGACCTCATCTAATCCTAGTTATCTCCCAAAGGCTCTGTCTCCAAACACCATCACCCTGGGGTTAAGGCTTCGACGTATGAGTTGTGGGGTGACAAAATTCAGCCCATGGAATAATATAAATTCAAAGACAACTGTGAGTTCTGAGGCTGGGGGTGAGGTGATATCTAACTGGCAATGGCGGGGTCATCTTGTGGGGTGTAGTGGCTAGAAATGCAAAAGAGGAGGCAGAGGCAGGCATGCTGAGAGGGCACCTGCAGCTCAGTGCAGACCACTGCCTGCTGCTTCCTGACTTTCTGGGTACCTTTCTATTTCTGAAAATTATCCAGAATTTTTCCAATAAATTTCCTTTTTTTAAATTCTAAATTTTTTTCTCTAAATTTCCTTTTTTGTATGAGCTGATTTCTGTTATCTGCAATCAGAATAAATTTAACCAAAACACAGTGGCATCAAGAAGTAGGCCATAAAACCATTACCCTGGTGAAATCCAAGTCTCCATCTCTACCTCCTGGATCTTTGTGGCTAGAGAAAAACATTCAGCTTCACTGCCTTGTTTTCCCTTTAAATTCATGCATCTCAATCTCAGTGAGTTTTCCTGCTGCCCAGCAACCATCCCTTACTTCCCTGGTGTATTCACTCTCCCACCTCACTCTCCTATTTCATACCCTGTCCTCTCTCCTCAAACCTCCAATACCTCCTCCCACGTCCTCACCCTGGGCAGGAAAACTTCCTTGCTCCTTCACTAACAAAATGGAAACCATCAGAAAAGAACTTCTACAGATTACCACCACTTCTACCCACATGGCTTCTGGAATGCTGCGGTGTCTTGGTTTTCTTTCTACCTCACAGCTTCCTCCTTCTCAATCTCCTTTGCTAGTTTATCTTCTCCTAAACCTCTCAATCTAAGCTGTCCAACGAATTAGCCACTGGCCTCACATCGCTATAAAGCATTAGAAATGTGGTTAGCCTGAATTGAGATTGCTGTAAGTGTTCGGTACACGTAAGATTGCAAAGACTTACTAGGAGAAAAAGGGATGTAAAATATTTCATTGTGAATTTTTATGTTGCTTACATGATGAAATGGTAAAATTTTAGATATCTTGGGTTAAATAAAAGAAAGTTTAAAATTAATTTTGCCTGTTTCTTTTTTCTTTATTTTTAAGTTTTATATTATTTATGCATTTTTTTGAGACATAGTCTCATACCCAGGCTGAAGTGCAATGGTGTGATCATGGCTCACTATAGCCCCCAGCTCCTGGGCTCAAGTGATCCTCCTGTCTTAGCCTCCCAGGTAGCTGGGACTACAGGTGCATGGCCATCATGCCCACCTAATTTTCCTTTTCCTTTAAAAATTCAGCTTCTAGGCCAGGTGTGGTGGCTCATCCCTGTAATCCCAGTACTTTGGGAGGTGGAGGCAGGAGGTTGGCTTAAGCCTAGGAGCTCAAGACTAGCCTGAGTAACATGGCAAAACCCCGCCTCAAAATGAAATACGAAAATTGGCCAGGCATGGTGGCATGTGCCTGTGGTCCCAGCTACTGGGGTGGCGGAGGTGGGAGGACTGCTTGAGCCCAAGAATTCGAGGCTGCAGTGAGCTGTGATCATGTCCCTGTACTCTGCCATGGGTGACAGAGCAAGACTGTCTCAAAAAATAAACAGACCAAAAATGCAGCTAGTGGAAAATTTTAAATCACTATGGCTCACATTATGTTTTTATTCTTCAGTACTGTTCTAAAAGTTGCAATGCCCCAGGGCTCAATCTTTGACCCTCTGTTCTTTCTCTACCGTTATTCTCTTATCCAATTTTATGGCTTTAAATACTTAATGAATGCCAAGAACTCCCAAATCTAAACTTCTAGCCCAGACCTCTCCTCTGAGCTCCTGACTTGTCTATCCAACTGCCTGCTCAACTTCTCCACTTAGGAAATACACTCCCCAAGCTGGTGCTCCCCTCAGCCTTCCCCATCTCAGTTCATGGCAACTCTATCCTTCTCACTGCTCACGAGAGAACCTTGAAGTCAGCTTCAACTCCTTTCTTTCTCTCAAACACCATACCCATTTCTTCCTGTGGGTTTCTCTTCAGAGTATATCTGAAATCTAACCAATTTTCATTGTTTTCCCTGCTACCACCATCATTTCTTGCCTGCATTGCTGGAATAGTAACAGGTCTTCTAGCTTCCACCCTTGCACCTCCATAGTCTGTTCTCAACACAGCTGCCTGAGTGATCCTTTGAAAACAGAGTGGCTCCTGTCACTCCTCTGTTCAAAATCCCACCACAACTCCCCATGTCCCTGAGAGTAAAAACCCAAGTCCTACAGCGGCTACAAGGCCCTACATGGTTCAACCCCCATCACTTCTCTGGCCTTGTCTCCTACCATTCTCATTCACCCAGTCCAGCCACACTGCTGTTTACCAGGCATGCTCCTGCCTTGAGGCCTCAGTATTAGTTACTCTCTTTGCCTGGGATGCTCTGCTCTTAAATATTTAGGTCTGATTCCCTTACTTCCTTCAAGTCTTTTTTCAAATATCACAATCTACACTGGGCTCCTCTGTTTAAAATTGCTACCTCCCACAAATCTTTTTACCCCCATTTACTTTTTCTTTTGTCCAAAGAACTTACTTATCACCCCCCAACATCCTGTACAATTTACTTAGTTATTATGTTTGCTGTTATCCCACCCACCTACCCTGATACCCCTAGAATGGAAGGTCCTCTTGGGCAAGCAACTTGCGTCTCTTGCTTCCTGGTGCATTTCAAGTGCTCACAACTGTGTCTGGCATGTAAGAGGCACTCAGTACTGCTATTGTTTGAATGCCCCCTCCAAAACTCATGTTGAAATTTAATTGCCATCGTCATGGTATTAAGAAGTGGGATTGTTAACAGACAATTAGGCCATGAGGGCTCTGCTCTCATGAATGGATTAATGCTGTTATCTCCAGAGTGGGTTCCTGATAAAAAGCGAGTTGGGGCCTGTCTGCTCTAGCTGGCTCATATCTACTCACTTGCCTTTCTGCCTTCTGCCATGGGTTGATGCAGCAAGAAGGCCCTGGCCAGATGCATGCCCCTCCACCTTGGACTTCCCAGCCTCCAGAACTACAAGAAACAAATCTCTGTTCTTTATAAATTACCCAGTCTGTGGTATTCCATTATAGCAACAGAAAACAAATCTGTTGAGTGAGATTTAGGCTAATCAGAACAGTTCAATGATTTTGACAAGGGACAATAAGGCAAATTCCAGTTCAAATGTGCAAAGCTGGAAGCAGGGAAAAAAACTGAACTACAAACCAGATTCTGAAATCCAGATCAATCAATCAACAACTTGCAAGGCCCAAATGCAGCCAACCAAGTGCTCTAATTTGCTCCATTTTTGTGTAAAAATGGTTGATACACTTGACTGGAAAAATGTGGAATCCTAAAACACTTACTGGGAATATGGAGAAGACACTAAGAATTGTGGAAACCCTGGTCTTGGACCCTCTGAAACAGCCTCTTGTCATGCACACTTTTGGTGAAAGAGGGCTCTCATTCCAAGGCTAAGACTGGAATGCAGTTTGGGGGCAGGGGCAACATTCCTGGGGAGATTAAAGAAGATAGGTTCCTTGCAACTCCCTTGATACCCTTTTGTTCTGGATCTATGCCTGAAGGCTAAAGCCATTAAGCAGAAAACAACTGGGGTTGCTAAGAAATGGAAGACCCACAGTCCTGGCCCAGGCCTGGCTTTTCACCTCAGTAGGGTTGGAAATACACATGGTAAGATCCAGCAATGTTGCTGATATTCTTTCACCCATAAACAAACATTTCTTTTTTCTTTTTTTTTAATTTTTTTTTTTTTTGAGATGGAGTCTCGCTCTGTCGCCCGGGCTGGAGTGCAGTGGTGCAATTTCGGCTCACTGCAACCTCCACCTCCCGGGTTTAAGTGATTCTTCTGCCTCAGCCTCCCAAGTAGCTGGGACTGCAGGTGCGCACCACCACACCTGGCTAATTTTTGCATTTTTAGTAGAGATGAGGTTTCGCCATATTGGCCAGGCTGGTGTCGAACTCCTGACTTTGTGATCTGCCCGCCTTGGCCTCCCAAAGTGCTGGGATTACAGGCATAAGCCACCGTGCCTGGCAACAAACATTTCTTGAGCTTCTATTATGGTCAGATGCATTCTTGGCCTTGAGGAAACAGTGATGATTAATATAAGGTCCCTATTTTCTTGGAGCTTATGTTCTGGTTGGGAAGACAGAAAATAATCAAGTAAAAAGGGATTTAGGTAGTTTCAGATGATGGTACTTGGTAGACACTAAGAAGAAAATTAAAAACGGAATACGATGTGGGAGAAACTAGTGTAGATAGGGTGGTCAGGGAAGGTCTCTGAGGTCTATTAGATATAAAAAGCCAAACTAATGGATTTTCTTGCTCTCACACTCAAAGCAGTTCAGAACACTTAACTTGTGATCACCAAATTGTGTTGGCATTTCTCCCTATCAATTCTCCAGTGTATGGTAACTGCATATCCTATAATTCAATTCAATTCTGACACTAGATACCTGGACACAGCAACAGATCCCACAGGGTGAGGGCTCAGTCTCCCAAGACTGCCCCACTTCAGGTGCCAATTGCAAGTCCCAGGTTATGACCTGTGATTCTGATGTACCAGGTATAAATCTGGGTTCCCACAATCCCCCTTCTCAGGTTTGATAGTTTGCTCGGACAGGCCATAGAATCCAGGGAAACACTTACTTATATTTACTGGTTTATTACTAAGCCTATTGATTATAAAGGGTAGAGATGAAAAGCCAGATGCAGAAGTGCATAGGGAAAGGCATTGGGGAAAAGGCACCTCCACGTGTTCAGCAACTTGAAAGCTCATCAGGTCTTGTTAAGGAGTTTTTATAGAGCTTAACATCTAGCTTCCAGCCCCCTTTCCTGGAGGCTGTTGGATGGGCTGAAAGTTCCAACTTTCTAATCCTCTAATCATTGGGTCTTTTTGGTGACTGGCCACATCCTGGGCTATCTAGGGGCTTCACCCCAAATCACTCATTATCATGAACCCAGGTGTGATCCAAGGGGGCTCATTATGCATAACTGAAGGCACCCCTATCACTCAGGATGTTCTAAGGATTTTAGGAGCCCTGTGACAGGAACTGGGATATGTCATATCATACCACAGAGGGTAATATTTCCTCTAAGACCAGATGATGAAAAGGATCCAGCCATGCAAAGAACATTCAGGTAGAGAGAAGAACAAGCACCAAGGCTCTGGGCTGGGGAGTATGTTCATGGAGACCCAAGGAAACATGTCTGGCTCCAGAGAAGTGAGTGAGAAGAAAAGGGACAGAAGATGAAGCTGGAGAAATCATGTGGGGTTAGACTATGCAGTGGGACACTGACAGTTACAAACTGAATATCACATTCTGACTTTAATTTTATAAATATTACTCTAAACTGTACGGATGGTTAAAAAGCTAATTCAATACACCAGGTGAAAAAGATTTATGGCTTGGACAAGGAGGGTGGTGTTTGTGATGGAAATAAAAAGACATGAATGAATTCAGAGATACTAGATATTTTAAAGTGTGAAAGACTGAATGCACCAGACAATTAACCATAGTAACTTGTATTTAACAGTGAAAACTAAGGGGTGATGTAGGGGATCAGAATATGCCACCCCACAATATGCCACTTTGGCGTAAGGATTATTTTGAGCTGAAAGCAATTGAGAAACAGCAGACACTGAAAAAAATTCTCGCCCTCCCCCTCATTTGCCTAAAAGTCAGACATGAATTTTCGTTTGTAGAGGTGTCTGTCTCTCCCACACCAGCAATAGAAGGACAACTATGAAACTCTTAATTACCAGAGACAACTCTAGACTCTTAACAGCCCAGAAATGGCACAGAGAGGAATCTACATAGAAATCCTTATAAAATAGCTCTTATCATCCATTAGTTTCCCCCATATATTTACCTTTCCACAGTTTGCCATCCCTAAAAGGCCTAAACTGCTTTTCCTTTTCTTTTTGGTGTTTTTTGTTTGTTTGTTTGTTTGTTTGTTTTTTTGAGACAGAGTCTCACCCTGATGCCCAGGCTGGAGTGCAATGGCATGACCTCGGCTCACTGCAACCTCCGCCTCCCGAGTTCAAACGATTCTCCTGCCTCAGTCTCCCAAGTAACTGGGATCACAGGCACCAACCACCACACCCAGCTAATTTTTGTATTTTTAGTAGAGATGGGGTTTCACCATGTTGGCCAGGCTGGTCTCGAACTCCGACTGCCTCGGCCTCCCAACGTGCTGGAATTACAGGCGTAAGCCACCATGCCTGGCCCCTTTCCATTTTTTTTTATTTGAAATAAGGCCTTACTTTGTTGCCCAGGCTGGAGTGCAGTGGCACAATCAAGGCTCACTGTGGTCTCAACCTCCTGGGCTCAAGTGATCCTGAGTAGCTGGGATCACAGGTACGTACCACTATGCTTGTCTAACTTTTTTATTTTGTAGAGACCCTATGTTGTCCAGGCTGGTCTCAAACTCCTAGGCTCAAGCGATCCTCCTGCCCTGACCTCCCAAAGTGCTAGAATTATTGGTATGAGCCACCACACTCAGCCCTAAATTGCTTTTCCTTTATCTTGTCACTTCTCTACAAATTTATTGTTCTTTGCTAACATGTTATATAAGCCCCAAGTTCTAAACACCCCTTTGAGTTACTCATCACTGAGTTCTTCTTGCGTGTATCCATGTTGCATTTGTTAATAAGCTCTGTTTGTTTTTCTGGTGTTTATCTGTCTTACCTCAGTTTAATTTCTGGGGCCCCAGCTGCAGAACCTAGGAGGGTAGACAAAAAGGGTTTTTTCCTCCTCTACAGTGGATAATTGTGCATTATCTGTCACACAACAGCATTTATATACTCTCAAAGTGGCAGAAATGAACATACTCATAAAAAACCCAAAGATAAAGTCTCTCTCTGCTGCATATAAAAATAAGGAGCACGTAACTTAAAATTATGCTTAGTAATCAGTGTTTCTTGGAAATGATCTAGATGCCTAATGAATATCCATTAATTGTTGCAATTCAGAATCACTCTAAAATTTTAAGTTACCAAAGATCTTGGAAACTATAAGCTAATTATTGTCAAAATAAAGCTTATCGGAATGATTTTTCTATTTGGTTAAACATAAATTTATATGTTTTGTAATCTTAAACATTACGTAGAACTAAGGCTAACTTCTTCAATCAGTAGATCTGTATAAATTAAAGAGCATACCTAAGTAGAATAAAAATGTACACTTATATTTAATGCCTGTAATTCAGAGAAAATATAGCTGTTTTTACTAAACCAAAAGTATTAAACTAGTTTTGCTTGCTAGAGATTTATCTAAATTAGGTTAACTCGAGTTCTTAAAATGTTTCTGAGTTAGTTTCTATAAGAATACTTCTTTTTTCACATTAAAAATATTAGAAGGCTGGGTGCAGTGGCTTATGCCTGTAATCCCAGCACTTTTGGAGGCTAAGGGAGGCAGGTCACTTAAGCCCAGGAGTTTAAGACAAGCCTGGGCAACATGGCGAAACCCCATCACTACAAAAAATACAAAAATTAGCCAGTTGTGATGACGTTTGCCTGTAGGTAGTCCCAGCTGTTTGCGAGGCTGAAGCAAGAGGATTACTTGAGCCCAGGAGGTCTAAGCTGCAGTGAGCCATCATAGTGCCACTGCACTCCAGCCTAGGTGACAGGGTGAGACCCTGTGTCAGAAAAAAAAAAAAAATAGAGGTTAGATTTCCTTAATTTCTGGGAATTTTAGGAACACTTCACTTATATAAGTGCTTATTTATCTCTAAGCCAATCAAAATAGAATTCTTCCAAGAGGCTTTGTAATCTAAATTATTAACACCATCTGGAGGTAGGATAATACTACACATTCATACAATGAGCATAAAGACTTTCATGAGTTATGGACACATGAACATAGAGACAGGCTGAGAAAGAACTCTTAGGGCTCCAATTCTAAAATTTCAACTACGGGTCAAGCATAACCATAAGGTGGGTCACACAGTTAGAGTTAGCACAGCCAGGATTCCAGCCCTAGCACTCTTAACTCCACATGGACTAAGTGATTGAGTTAACCACTTGCAATAGCCCTACTTTATGGCTGGGCGCAGTGGCTCACACCTGTAATCCCAGCACTTTGGGAGGCCGAGGTGGGCCGATCACTTGAGGTCGGGAGTTAGAGACCAGCCTGACCAACATGAAGAAACCCCTGTCTCTACTAAAAATACAAAAATTAGCCGGACATGATGGTGGGCACCTGTAATCCCAGCTACTCAGGAGGCTGAGGCAGGAGAATCACTTGAACCTGGGAGGCAGAGGTTGCAGTGAGCCAAGATTGCGCTGTTACACTCCAGCCTGAGTGATAGAGTAAGGCTCCATCTCAGAAAAAAGAAAAAGAAAAAAAATAGCCCTACTTTACAAAAATGGGGAAAATCAGTGTAGCTAAAATAAAGATTTCCTCTTAGAAAGGGGGAATAAAGGAAACTTCCAGTACGGCTCCAACACTTTGTTAGCAAATGAGGTACCCAGGTCCTGCTGGGCAGGAACAGATACTGAGGTAAAAATATAACACCTACATGGCCAGGAGTGGTGGGTCACACCTGTAATCCCTGCACTTTGGGAAGCCAAAGTGGGTGGATCACTGGAGGTCAGGAATTCAAGACCAGCCTGGCCAACATGGTGAAACCCCGTCTCTACTAAAAATACAAAAATTAGTTGAGTGTGATGGCAGGTGCCTGTAATTCCAGCTACTCAGGAGGCTAAGTCATGAGAATAGTTTGAACCCAGGAGGTGGGGGTTACAGTGAGCCAAGATAGTGCCATTGCGCTCCAGCCTGGGTGACAGAGAGAGACTCCATCTCATAATAATAATAATAATAATAATAATAATAATAATAATAACAACACCTACAAATCTCAATGGTATTAGTATTTGTTTCCTTAATCAGAGCATGAGTTTGAATTTCCTTGGTAAATAATTCAGTTGTCCACCAGGTGCAGTGGCTCACGCCTGTAATGCCAACACTTTGGGAGGCCAAGGTGGGCAGATCACAAAGTCAGGAGTTCGAGACCAGCCTGGCCAACATGGTGAAACCCCATTTCTACTAAAAATACAAAAATTAGCAGGGCATGGTTGCAGGAGCCTGTAATCCCAGCTACTTAGCACGCTGAGGCAGGAGAATCATTTGGGGGAGGGAGCCTCCATCTCAAAATAAATAATAATTCATTTGTCACAAATTCTACTTTCTGAGAGGCTATACCTGTCCTATTCCTCAGACCACACTCAGTAGCCTGCTACTTATAAATATTGGTATTCTTTGGCTGTACTGCCCAATGAATAGCCAAAAACTGAAAAAAAAAAACCATTTTTCCAAGAAGCATTTTTGACCAACTATTCTCAAGACTAGTTGAACTTCAACTTGACCTTCTTAGGCTAAAGCTCTATACAATCTCCACTTTCTTCCTCAAGGCAAAGCATCCCTTCAGAACAGTTCTCAGGCTGCAGCATTCTGAATGGACGCTTGGGCTTCGTGGTGCGGTGGCTCATTTTCTCCCACGGTTTCTGATGCTGTGACCTGAATCCTGGACCCTCTTCTGCTCAAATATGGATAAAATTCGGTAGAAACTTTGCTGTTTTCTCTCCTAAGAGTACTGGTGACTCCAGAGCTGAGTAAGTCCTGCTCTGGGTAAATGCACCCCTCCTTTCTCTCTCTCTCTTTTTTTTTTTTTTTCCAGATAGAGTCTTCTGTTCCCCAGGCTGGAGTGCAGTGGCATGATCATGGCTCACTGCAGGCTCAGTCTCCTGGGCTCAAGCCATCATCCTGCCCCAGCCTCCCAAGTGGCTGGGACTAAAGACATGCACCACCATGCCTGGCTAATCTTTTTTGTAGAGATGAGGTCTTGCTATGTTGCCCAGGCTGGTCTTGAGATCATAGCTTCAAGCAATCCTCCTGCCTCAGCCTCCCAAAGTGTTGCGATTATAGGCATGAGCCACCACGCCCGGCCCCTCCCTCCTCATAAGCATCGTCTAAGCCTCTATTCTATTCTTTTTTTTAATTGTCCTTGGTATAAGCCTATTGATTTGATTATCTTGCACCATTCAGAACTCTTACAGGCATGGTGGGGTATAGTGCTGAGATTTTCTGGACCAACTATTGTCTCTTGCATGTTCTCATTATTTGGGTATGGGCAATCACCAGTCATTCAGTGAAATTCCAGATCATGGTCCAGCCTCTTACACATACGTACATACATTGTGATGCCAATTGCACAGGATTTTTTAAAGAGATCCTGTCTCTCTCTCTCTATATATATATATATTATATATATGAGACAAGATCTCTTAGCAGCTTTCCATGAAGTCTTTCCTGTAGAAAAAAAAAAAAAAGATCAAAAAGTCAAATCTGTAAAATACAAAAAATCTGTAAAAATAGAAAAATTAGCCAGGCATGATGGTGGGTGCCTGTAATGCCAGCTACTCAGGAGGCTGAGGCAGGAGAATCACTTGAACCCAGGAGGTGGAGGTTGCAGTGGGCCAAGATCATGCCACTGCACTCCAGCCTGGGTGACAAAGCAAGACTCCATCTCAAAAAAAAAAAAAAAATCAAATTTGTAAACAGAGAAAGAATAAAGTTATCCTAATTTCAGAGATCACTTAACTACCACTTTCCAGGAGCTCTCTAGTCTTGACAAGGGCAAAGATATCACAGCTGTCTTATTTAATTTTTTCTGGATGGTCCTAAACCAAGGTGGCAGGTTTAGTTTAAAAATAGAAGATAGTATGTCCCCTTCTCTAAATTACAAGATCTTTCAGAATACTGTGATATTTTGACTTAGAAAAAATTTATAAATAAACTTTTTAGATTAGGCAACTAGAAATAACTAGAACAAGGACACCTCTATGTCTAGTCTAGACAAAGACACCTGTTCATAGTATAAGGAAAAGGGACACTGAAAGAACAGTTGCTCTACCTTAGCTCAAAAGATAGGATCTGAAAAGACAAAGAGCAAAGTTTGGTTGCCAAATGACAGCTCTGCAGGAGTAGCTGCTCTGGTCTGTCCACAACTGCCCTTAACACAAAAGGGAGAAATTTGCACGCAATTGCAAAAACAGAATGCTTACTTTCTACCGTAAACCATACCACCATTCTGTCATTCTCTTCCTTGGAGTAACAAAAAGTTTTCAGTGGTAGAAATCTCAAATACACCTCAGTCTCTGCCTTTGTCTCAGCTGTTTCCTGTCTGTTTGGGCTTTCTCACTAGTCAATATACTTTTCTGCTTAGTAACTTCACTCCAGTGAATTTGTTATAAGTGGAGTACCATAATTTGGTCAATAGTTTGATGATGGCAGAGACTGATTAATCACTGCCTGATGCCTCCCCTATAAACACCTCAAACCTTGGACCTAGCTGTGATAAACTCTGGGCCAAAGACAATTCAGATGTGGGACACACAACAAAGGCTAGATCCTTAAAGATCTCAACTGATCTAGTTATGACCTCCCAAAACTGCTACAAAAAGGAGGATGTAGAAGCCCTTTAGGCTGTCTTATCCTGTATGCTGCCAGAAAAAAAAAAAAAAAAACAACCAAAAAAACCCCAAATTATTCCTTGCACCAGCCCTTGTATTAACTGCATTCTGCCTATCAAAAAGGCCTATAGGCTGGGCGTGGTGGCTCATGCCTGTAATCCCAACACTTTGGGAGGCCGAGGCAGGCAGATCTCGAGGTCAGGAGATCGAGACCATCCTGGCTAACACAGTGAAACCCAGTCTCTACTAAAAATACAAAAAATTAGCCGGGCGCTGTGGAGGGCACCTGTAGTCCCAGCTACTCGGGAGGCTGAGGCAGGAGAATGGCGTGAACCCGGGAGGTGGAGCTTGCAGTGAGCCAAGATCATGCCACTGCACTCCAGCCTGGGCAACAGAGCAAGACTTCATCTAAAAAAAAAAAAAAAAAGCCTATAGGTTTAGCAGCCACATCATACAAGAGATAGGGTTATTAATAATTTGCTTTCTTGCTTCCCTGTAATTGCCAATGCCAATTCCATCCTACCCTCAATCCCTGAAACAGCTACTTACTTTATAGTCATTGGCCTATTCCTTACATGCTTTAGAATGTCCTTGCAAACATACTCATAGTATTTATTTGGAAAAACCAACAATACATATAGACAGTGATGCCCAAGGGCTTACAGAAGCATCCTCTTATTTCGCCCAAGAACTCAACAATAACCTTGGAGACATCCAATTCTCCTAGGAATCTATTCTTATAAAATATGATGACCCTCTGTTATGCTCTCCAGATGAAGAGGCTTCCAAAATTGATTTTCTCCATTTGCAGAGAGTGTTTACATACAAGGCACACAATGTCTCTAAGAATAAACTCCCAAGTTTATCACATCCATTATCTAGGCCATGACATCACACGAGATGGAAAGCCTCTTTGTTGAAAAACTTTAGGGACTTGCCCCCATCCAGTTATTAAAAGACAACATCAAGGATTTCTCAGCCTCATAGAAAACCGTAGACATTGCATTCCTAATTTTCAGAATTTGCGTCCCTTTAAATGTTCTGATAACAGCAGAAATACCTGAGCCCTTGCCCTGGACGGGTTCACTTGAGACTATTTTCTATAACTTAAAGGACTCCCTTCAAAACATTCCTATCCTTGAATTTCCCAATTACTATAAACCTTTCTATGTATACATGAAAGATCAGTACGAATCTTGCAGGCTTCTAAATCAAAAGCTCAATGGACATCATAGTCCAGTAGCTTATTTTGGCCTCTCACTTGACCCTGTAGCAAAAGCCTACCCTTTTTGTTTGTGTGTAGTCACAGCAGCTGCAAAGTTAACTGAAGCCTTTGATGCTTTAGTCTTAGGATTTCCACTTAACCTCATGGTCCCTCATGCTGTTCAAGCCTTATACTCAACTAAAAGCCACCCGACATTTTTGTGCTTCTAGACCAACCTCCTATGGAATCCTTCTACTCTAACATGCATATATTTCCAGTACTGCAATACCCTAAACCCCACCACCTTTCTTTCCCTTCCAGAGGAAGGTGAACTTCATGACTGTCATGCATGAGTTTAGGAGGATTCTTTGCCTTACTCTGATCTTGATTTCTAATTTAATTCCACTGAAGTAAAGTAACACACTTAATATAATTTGATTTATTTTAAATGTATTAAGACTTGTTTTATGTCCCAAAATATGGTCTGTGGTATACGGTTCCACGTGTGCTAAAAAAGAATTTTCAGGCTGGGCATGGTGGCTCACGCCTGTAATCCCAGCACTTTGGGAGGCCGAGACAGGCAGATCATGAGGTCAGGAATTCAAGACAAGTCTGACCAATATGGTGAAACCCCATCTCTACTAAAAATACAAGTGGTGCACGCCTGTAATCCCAGCTACTCAGGAGGCTGAGGCAGGAGAATCGCTTGAACCTGGGAGATGAATGTTGCAGTGAGCTGAGATCATGCCACTGCACTCCACCTGGGTGACGGAGCGAGACATTGTCTCAAAAAAAAAAAAAAGAAGTTTCAAAAATAAATGAATAAAATAGAAAATAAGGCTGGACACAGTGGCTCACACCTGTATTCCAGCACTTTGGGAGGCTGAGGAAGGGGGTCACTTGAGACCAGGTATTCAAGACCAGCATGAGCAACATACTGGGAGCCTACCTTTACAAAGTAAATAAATAAAAAAGAATATTCTTGCAAGGGTTTGGGTCAACTATAAAGTTAGAGGTCACAGTCTTCAAGACTGCCCTCACCTCTGACACCAGCTGAAAGCTCAGGGTGTTCCCAAAACCACTCTAAGTTTCGATAACTTGCTAGAACTCAGATAACCCACCAAAAATATACTCATGGCTATAGCTGTGATTATTGGGAAAAGGTACAGATTAAAATCAGGCATGATACAAGCATGTTAAACAGAGTCTAGGATAAGTATCCAACATGCAGTTCCTGTTTTCCTTTCTCTGTGGAATCAGGACTCATCATTGGTTTGTGAAAATACACAAGAAATATTACCATCCAGGAATGCTCACCTGAGCTTTGGTGTCCGGAGTTTTTATTGGGGCCTCATCATAAAGACATGATTGATTGCCCATATGGTTGAATTCAGTCTCCAGGTTGGCTTCTACCAGGTCAGCCAAAGCCCCTACTCTCAGACTGTTAGCTATGGCCAGCCCCACCCCAAGATATGATGTGGCCAGCCCCTGCTTTAAACAAAGACATTTCTATCTGGTATGACACAGATTACCTGCCAGAAGCTGAGAGCAAAGGCCAGACCTCTCTTTGGGAAAGGCCAAATTTTTTACTAAACAATTTTGTGGTTCTATAAAGTGTTCTAGAAATGCCAATTAAGTAAAATTGGTTGATAGCTTAGGCTACATCTTTTACATCCTTACCTATTTTCTGTTTATTTGTTACATCAATCATTGAGAGACAGGCATTACAATCTTCAGCTATAATTGTGGATTTGTCTAATTTTAGTTATATCAGTATTTTCTTAATGTATGCTCTGCTATCGGGTACATAAATATTTAACATTATTATGCCCTTTTGATAAATTGGCATCTTTATCATGAAATGATCCTCTTTATCCCTAGTCATATTGTTTTATCTGAAATATGTTTTGTTGGATATTAACATAGATACTCGAGCTTACTTTTCCTTTTTTGTAACAGTGTTACTGAAATAAAATTCACACATACCTCTCTTTGAAGTGTATAATTTAGTGACTTTTAGTATATTCACAGAGTTCACATCCATCACATAAATTTGTGATAATTCCCGAACATATATATGAACATATATATATGAATGGAGTAGAGACAGGATCTTGCTGTGTTGACTAGGCTGGTCTCAAACTCCTGGCCTCAAGTGATCCTCCTGCCTTGGTTTCCCAACATACTGGGATTACAGGCATGAGCCACTGCATTGTCATCCATAACATTTCAATCAACTTAAAAAGAAACCACATCAGCTGCTACTCCCCACTTTCCCTAACTAAAAGCCTGGCTACCACTAATCTACCTTTTCTCTTTATGAATTGGCCCTTCTGGACATTTCATATACAAAGGATCATATAATATGTGATCTTTTGTGTCTAGCTTCTTTCAGTTAGCTAGCATAATGTATTCAAGGTTCATCTATGTAATAGTATGTATCCGAACTTCTTTTCTTTTTATGGCCGAATAATGTTCCATTTTCTGAATATGCCATTTATCTGTTGATAGACATTTGGGTTACTTGCAGTTTTTGGTGATTATAAATAATGATGCTATGAACATTCATGTTTAATTGTTTGTGTGATGCGTGTTTTCAATTTTCTTGGTACATACCTTGAGTATATACCTAGGAGTGGAATTGCTGTGTCATATGGTAACTCTATGGTTAACTTTTTGAGGGATTGTCCAGCTGTTTTCCAGAATAACTGCACCATTTTACATTCCTAATAACAATTTAAAAGAGCTCCAATTACCCACAGCCTCACCAATACTTGTTACTATTATTCTTTTTCTTTATAGCTATTCTAGTGGGTGTGTAGTGGTATTGTATCTCTTTCTGGTTTTGCTTTATATTTCCCTATTGACACAGAGTGACATTGAGCACCTTTTCATGAGCCCATCAACAATTTGTGTATCTCCTTTGAAAAAATGTCTGTTCAAATCCTTTGACCATTTTTAAATTGGCTTATTTGTCTTTTTTATTTTTCTTTGTTTTTTAGATAATGTCTGGCTCTGTTGACCAGGCTGGAGTGCTATGGTGCCATCTTGGTGACTGCAACCTCCACCTCCCAGGCTCAAGGTATCCTCCCACCTCAGCCTCCCAAGTAGCTGAGACCACAGGCACACACTACCATGCCTGGCCAAGTTTTGTATTTTTCATAGAGATGGAAAGTCACCTTGTTGTCCAGACTGGTCTTGAACTCACGAGCTCAAGTGATCTGCCTGTCTTGGCCTCCCAAAGTGTGGGGATTACAGGTCCAAGCCACCACACTCACCTTATTTCTCTTTTTATTATGGAGTTGTAAGCGTTTTTCAAATATTCTGGATATAACTCCTCTTACTGATGTATGACTTGAAAATACTTCCTCACATTCCAGGAGTTATTTTTTTCTCTTTCTTTTCTCTAATAATTCATTGTTATTTCTTTCTTGAGACAGGTCTCACTCTGTCACCCAGGCTGAAGTGCAGTGGTGTTATCACAGCTCATAGCAGCTTCAACTTCCTGGTCTCAAGCAATCCTCCCACCTCAGCCTCCTAAGTAGCTGGGAACACAGATGCATGCCACTATGTCTGGCTAATTTTTTTTTTTTTTTTGGTGGAGATGAGGGTTTCCCTACGTTACCCAGGCTGGTCTTGAACTCCTCGGATCAAGTAGTATTCCCACCGCAGCCTCCCAAAGTGCTGGGATTACAGGCTTTAGCCCCTGGCTTTTTCACTTGCTTGATGGTATTCTTCAAAACACAAAAGTTTCTTTTTTTTTTTTTTTTTTTTTTGAGATGGAGGCTCACTCTGTTGCCCAGGCTGGAGTGCAGTGGCATGATCTCAGCTCACTACAACCTCCACCTCCCGGGCTCAAGTGATTCTCCTGCCTCACTCTCCCAAGTAGCTGGGATTACACGTGCATGCCACCAGGCCTGGCTAATTTTTTTTATTTTTAGTAGAGACGGGGTTTCACCATGTTAACCAGGCTGGTCTTGAACTCCTGACATCAGGTAATCTGCCTACCTCGGCCCCCCAAAGTGTTGGGATTACAGGTGTGAGCCATCACGCCTGGTTGAAAAGTTTCTAGTATGATGAATTTTAATTCATCTATTCTTTCTTTGTCTCTTGTACTTTTGGTGTCATCTCCAAAAACCTATTGTCTAATCCAAAGTCAAGAATATTTACACATATGTTTTCTTCTAAGAGTTTTATAGTTTTAGTTCTTAAATTTAAGTCTATGAGCCTTTTTGAGTTAATTTTTGTATATGATGTGAGGTTGGGGTTCAAATTCATTTTTTGCATGTGGCTATTCAACTTTTCCCATACCATTTATTGAAGAAAATATTCTTTCATTCCTAATGAATAATTTTGGGACTCTTATTAAAAACCAGTTGGTGATAGATATATGGGTTTATTTTGGGACTCTCAATTCTATTTCATTGATTTATATTTCTGTACTCATGCCCATATCACACTATCTTTTGTGTTGTTTTGTTCTCTCTCTATAGAGAGAACAAAAAGAGAGAACAAAATAAACCCTATATATATTTTTTATTTATATATAATATATTTATTTATATATAAAATATACATTTTATATATTTTTTATACATATTATGTATTATGTAATAGTATATATTGTTAAAGGAAACTATGTGGCCTGAGAAGGACTCCAGACTTCTATATTTGAGTATTTGTGGACGAACTATAACCTAACTTAATAGGTAGACAAGATTGAAACCCTAATTTAGGAGTATGCACCTGTAACAATAGCTGAGCATTGGCAAATCCCAGTAGCTATACTTCAACCACTCATAGACTGCTGAGTGTTCAAACTGTGTTCAAATAAAGCAAAAGCCAACCTGTAACCAATCCAGTTGTTTCTGTACTTCTCTCCCAATTTCTGTACATCACTTCCCTTTTTCGTCTATAAATTTATTCTGACCACAAGGCAACCCAAGAGTCTCTGAATCTTCTGTGATTCTGGGGGCTGCCCAATTTGCAAATAATTCATTGCTCAGTTAAACTCCTTTAAATTTAATTCAGCTGAAGTTTTTCTTTTAACAGATGGTGTCAAAAGTGGGGTCTGAAGTGGAGCTTCTCACGACACCCAGGAGTCCTGAGTGAACAAGCAAGGTACCTGCATGACCCACTTGTCTACATTGATCTCTTGGAGCAGCTAGGGATCATAAGTAAGTTATCTCAATTTTGGAGCTCCACAGATTTGTGTTTTGAGCTCTCTGAATTTCTTTGAGCAAATTTCTGATCCAAACTGGGTTTGGAAGTTGCAACAGAAACTGGACTGAGTCCAGGAACGGATTTGATCTGATAATTAACTGGCTTGGATCCGTTAGAGGCCTCTTATATCTGACTGGGTCAGAAAGAAACCGGTAATAAATGGTAACATTGCAGGGGATGTAAAATTTGGCTTTTAAAAATTTGTGGGGATTTTTGTGTTCTACCCCTTTGTTTCATTTTTCTTGCAGTAGGAAAAAACCCATTGGCTAAGTTAATCAAGGGAACTGGAGAGTAAAACCAATATTTTAGGTAAAAATGGGATCCTTAATTTCTGGAAAACTGAGTTCCTTCTGGCTTATGCATTAGGCACAGAAAGCAGCAAAGTCTTACAGAAATGGCAAGATCTTACTAAAGACAACGTACAATGGAATGTTCTGAATGAACAACAATGCATTGAAGTGCATTTTAAAACAAAGACTCTCAAATATTAAATCTGATAACCTTTTAGCGTAGTTACCATCCTGATCCAAAGGAAATAGACTGCTGAAGCACCAATAGGCTGACTTTGGATAAGTAATGGAGTACATTTACCTGAGTAAAGGATGGGATTGGGTTAGAGACCCTCCCCTCAGTAAAGTCCCTCTTGGTTAAAATGGGTTAAAGATGACAGGGCCCAATCAGGGTCAAGTTTGAGCCTTGCCAGTTTGATATTTGGTGCCTCCATGCAACCGGTTGAGCGGCATCTTGCAAAATTCAGAGGCTTTTGCCTGTGGTTCCTTGAAACAGAAAAATATGATTTTCCTTTATGATGTGGCTTGGCCCCTAGGGCTATGGTGTGGAGATCTTGGTCACTAGGGCCACGAAGGGAAAGGGAACCCAGAAGCCTGGCATGCAGGCCAAAGGGTAAGAATTTCTTACTAGTCAGGCTTCTGGCCCCTCTCTTCCTCTCTCTCTCTGTGCAGACTGGCTGAATGAATGGTAAAAATCATTGTTTATCTCCTCTGTAAAGTTTTGATTAATTGAAAAAATGATTCATGAGGCTAATCGTAAGCTGTATTGTGCTTTTTGTGTCTTTCCATATTGTTGTGTCATAACGAGGGGTACCTTAGGATAGAATGCGGGCTTAGGACCCCATCAGGAGGGCCCAGCAAAACTGGTCAGCAATAAACTTTGCTGCAGGTCCTTGAAAAAAAAAACTGGATGAAGTCTCTATCTTGTCTAGTATGTCCTTGGTGCTTGACCTTGTAACTACGTGGCAGTACTTTCTTTTGGTCTCCACCATTTTAAAATTGTGGCCCAGGTTCAATTCCCAGCTTAGGGAATGAGTACTTTCTGGTTGATATTTGGGTAACGTTTGCCATTTTTTGATTCTCTTCCCCTCCACAAACTGTCTTGAATTTTCCTTTATCAGAGCACCTGTGAGGTTACTTTTGGTAAAGTTTAAGAGCCAGAAATATCAGCCATTTGTTCTGGCTAAAGTCAGGTAATAAGAAATTTAAAAGGACTTTTAAAGTCAGCTTAATTAAAAGTGGATATTCAAGCTCTAACAGCCTGGGACTCCTTGGGAAAAACAATAGATACAAGAGATTCTGTTTTGGGAAAAACCTCTGTTTTCCTCTGCTTCCAATTCCTGGGATTTCAGAATTGGAAGTGGATAGATGCTTTTCAAAATCTAAGGCTGTGTTCTGTTTTGCATTGCATTATCTGACATTTTTTACTTTGGGAGTATCAGAAATTATTATTTCACATTATGAGAGAGCTTTGTTGTGTAATAACTAAGTAGGCAATATACTTTTAGGGATGTCTAGTTACAGTTATGGGGAAATACTCAGCTCTGCACATTTGGACCAGAGAAGCATGCTCTTGGCCACACAGAAGTATGGAGATGTCTCCACCCCCGACTGAGAAATAAGACTCCCATGGGGATGGGTTGACGCCCTCTTTTTTGGAGGGGATCCAGGATCTGGTATAACAATGGGACTTAATTATTGGAGATGTTTTGCTTTCTGGCTGTGCCTGCTTTTTATATTAGGCCCTAGAAACTGTATGCTTTCCTGGCCCTGTTCTTCCAAGGACTCCACTGTAAAGCCAGTAATCCAATTAAGAAACTTAGAAACTGGTGCCAGGTGTGGTGGCTCACGCCTGTAATCCCAGCACTTTGGGAGGCCGAAGTGTATGGATCACCTGAGGTCAGGAGTTCAAGACCAGCATGACCAACATGGTGAAACCCCGTCTCTACTAAATATACAAAAATTAGCGAGACATGGTGGTATGCAACTGTAATCCCAGCTACTCAGGAGGCTGAGGCAGGAGAATCACTTGAACCCAGGAGGCAGAGGGTGCAGTGAGCCGAGTTTGCACCACTGTACTCCAGCCTGGGTGACAGAGCTAGACTTCATCCAAAAAAAAAAGAAACTTAGAAACTGGTAAATGAAAAATCTTACAACTACTGCAACTACTGGATCTTCTTCTGTCTGTCTGTGTAGTTATATATTTGTTGTGTGTGTAATGTTTATATAAAAGAGCTCTAATTAATTGGCTTTAAGAAAAATAAGCACTTAAATCAAATATTTTGAAAGAAAAATAAAAACTATAATGCCTTTTAGTTCATGTAACTTTAGTAATCTTTGGGAAATAAAAAGTTTTAAAGATTATTGGCAAAAATAAAGACATTTGGTCTAAATTAGGGAGGTTAGATACTAGGTTTGCTAAATGTTTTAAGGTCATAAACTGCTTTGACTTTTCAAAATTGTTCAATTTGCCTAGCTTGGAGACATTAGATTCTAGATAAGTCCTGGGGCATGTGGAATTAGCCATGCCCCCTAGCTATGCAAAGAAAGTTATAAAGAAAATGTATTTTATATAAGAAAGAATTTTGTGGCTGGGCGTAGTGGCTCACGCCTGTAATCCCAGCACTTTGGGAGGCTGAGGCGGGCAGATCATGAGGTCAGGAGTTCAAGACCAGCCTAGCAAACATGGTGAAACCCCATCTCTACTAAAAATATAAAAATTAGCCGGTGTGGTGGCACGTGCCTGTAATCCCAGCTACTTGGGAGGCTGAGGCAGGAGAATCGCTTGAACCCAGGAGGTGGAGGTTGCAGTGAGCCGAGACTGCGCCACTGCACTCCAGCCTGGCAACAGAGCGAGACTCCATCTCTAAGAAAAAAAAAAGAAAAGAAAAAATCTTGTGGCTGGGTGAAGTGGCTCACACCTGCAATCCCAGCACTTTGGGAGGCTGAGGTGGGCAGATCACCTGATGTCAGGAGTTTGAGACCAGCCTGGTTAACATGGTAAAACCCCGTTTCTACTAAAAATAGAAAAACTGAGCCAAGCGTGGTGGCATGCGCCTGTAATCCCAGCTACTCAGGAGGCTGAGGCAGGAGAATCACTTGAACCCGGGACGAAGAGGTTGCAGTGAGCCAAGATCATGCCATTGCACTCCAGCTTGGGCAACAAGAGTGAAACTCCACCTCAAAAAAAAAAAAAGAATCTTGTATGGTAAAATCTTGTCCTAAAGTAAAATAACTGGTTGTTTAAAAAGAAAGATGTTGGCTGGGCAAGGTGGCTCATGCCTGTAATCCCAGCAGTTTGGGAGGCTGAGACGGGTGGATCATGAGGTCAAGAGATTGAGACCATCCTGGCTAACATGGTGAAACCTCGTCTCTATTAAAAATACAAAAACAAAATTAGCCAGGCATGGTGGTGGGCACCTGTAGTCCTAGCTACTCGGAATGCTGAGGTGGGAATATGGCATGAACCCAGGAGGTGGAGCTTGCAGTGAGCTGAGATCGCGCCACTGCACTCCAGCCTGGGCGACAGAGCAAGACTCCATTTAAAAAAAAAAAAAAAAGGATTTTTAGGACAAGTCAGAAAGTCCAAGCATGTTGTAGATAGTCTGTGTAAGTTGTGAAAGGAAATTTATACACCAAAAGTAAAAGTTGCTAAGAATTACCATTATAACATGTAATTGAAATTAATAAAAAAATAACTGTACGTGTAAGGTGTGTGAGGAGAGTGAAATGTGTTTTTGGTAAAAGACTATAAGAAGGCATGGTAATGTAAATTTTTTTTTTTTTTTTGAGACAGAGTCTTGCTCCATCATCCAGGCTGGAGTGCAGCAGCATGATCTCGGCTCACTGCAACCTCTGTCTCCTGGGTTCAAGCAATTCCCCTGCCTCAGGCTCCCGAGTAGCTGGGACTATAGGCACGTGCCACCACACTCAGCTAATTTTTTGTATTTTTAGTAGAGACAGTGTTTTACCATGTCGGCCAGGCTGGTCTCAAAGTCCTGAATTCAGGCAATCTGGCCACCTCAGCCTCCCAAAGTGCTAGGATTACAGGCGTGAGCCACCACGTCTGGCCCAGGAATGTAAATTTTTGCCTAGTTTAGAGGGTTAAAGGATTTTTAAATTAGGTAAGATAAAGCTAAAAGTTTGAGTAAGTTGTGGAAGGTTTGTAAAAATTAATCTTGTAAAAAAAATTCTGTGTGTGAAAATGTTGACTAAATTTAAAGGGGTATTGTTCAGTTTTTCTGTAAATTGACATCAAAATAAAAGCACAACTGGCTTTTCTTAAAGCACTGATCTCCTCTTTCACAAAAATTGTAAAGGGCTACAAAAGATTTATAAGAATCTCACCTCATCGTCAAACTGGTTAAGCACAAGGTGTTTTAAACCTTTAACATATTTGATAGCCTTCCCAAAATTAAATTTCAGCTTCAAAATTGCCTTTTCTGACTTCTAACTTTGGGATGCAACAGAAGGCCCCTGAAACATCCAAAAGAGAGGTAACAGGACTATTTGACATTTTAAGTTACATAGGAAGCACTGTCAAAATAAAAAATAATGTTTAACCTTCTTCAGGTTATATTTTAGTGAATTACATTAATTTATGTTCCAAAATCGTATGGGATTTATAAAATTCTAATATGTCTGAATATATGCTATCAATCATAATTATGGTTATGATGTTAAGTTATTGTAGACCACAGAAATAACAAAATTTCATTGTCTATTGTGCCTTTAACTATAACTACTTAAATTTATTTTCACAGTTTATTGCTTAATGCTGATGCAGTTTCTGAAAACTTCACAAGCATGCAAAATCCTAGAATATGGTGTGTTTTAGGAGATTCATGAAGGGATGGAAAGGACCCTAAAAAGCACTCTTGAATCCAGGTTTCTAGTAACTTTAGAATTATATCATTTGAACTGGGTAAGAATTCCTGGAACTGACTGAAAAGACTGACTGGTTTATAAAACTGCTAACCCAAGTAGAACAGAAATTAACTGAATACCTAGAAAATACTTTGCCAAATTTTAGTGTTAAATAAGCTGACAATGAAATTGTTTAGATGTACAATTTGAATAAAATCCATGGTCTAAGTCAAATTACCTATGATAACCCATCAGTTAGTGCTTAGCACCTAATTTGGAGAAATAACTGGTATTCTGCATTCCATGACTCATCATGCAAAAGATAAAATAATCCAAATTAAATATACTGGTGTGGTAATTTATAAATTGCTAAAATCATTTATAACTAATGTTTGGTTTGTCAAACCCAAATTCCTGGGAAAACAATCAAGGTTCATGTATATTTGGTTACCGGATGGGCCATTTATACATTTTATAAAGGGATTTCATTCAATTATCTTTTTTGTTTGTATTGTATTTTTTTAGTAGAGACGGGGTTTCCCCGTGTTAGCCAGGATGGTCTCGATCTCCTGACCTCATGATCCGCCCGCCTCGGCCTCCCAAAGTGCTGGGATTACAGGCGTGAGCCACTGCACCCAGCCCATTCAATTATCATTTTTAATACATGTTTTCTAGTTGTATAAATGCTCTCCCATGCAAGAGGGCTGATGTTATAACAGTAGATTATTATGCTACAGTGTATTTTCACCAGGTTAAAAAAAGCTTTTTTTGGTTCACTGAGGACAATCAGCCCCTTCACAATCTAGAACCCGAAGATTGGCTCTTCTGAGAGCATCAGAGAAGGACTGTCCTTGCCATCCACACTGCAATGAAACTTGGGGATCCTGAACCTTGGGTTCATAATCTCACAACTGAGAAGGATCCCTCCACACTCTTGGAACTGTACACTCATTGGAACCCTTAAGGTAAAGCTAACCAAGGAAGTGTCTCCCCAGAAGAAAATGGCATCTTTGATGTGAACAGTTCTTCCTAAGATCATGGATCAAGACTTCTACTGTCATGAGACTCTTATCTTTGAATATTTTTTTCCTTGTTTATGCCTCTATGAACAACAGAAATGAAAAAGGGGTCTGTTGCATGCACTTACGGTGTATACTTTTATTTGTGAAGGATTTTGCAGCCAGCCGTACACATGGATAAACTTATACTTTGATAGATAAAAGATGAAGGCCCAATATCGGTGAGAAACTTTAATGGTACATACCTTGCCTCATAATCAGTCAGAAATAGAACATTGATTTACTCCTCTTATCCCACATCATGGGTTAAAGAGAAATTGCCAGGAGGCACTCTTCTAGAAGTGCATCAATTGTTAGGCCCTTTTTCCATGGTTTGGAATAAAAGAGGCAATGGTTAGAAATGTGTCCCTCATGATAGGCTCTCTAGCAGATTCTATTGTAAAGGCTACAGTTACACAACAGACTTTAAATTCTCTTGTGAAAGTTATGTTAAATTATAGAATTGGCTAAACAGAAAAGTAGATGTGCAGCTGCTGGCACCTGTGGCCTATGGAGAAATACATCAAATGTAGATTATATAAATTCAGTTTTAAAGGATTCATGAAAAGACCACTTAGTTAAGCGAGTAGACTCATCATCAAATAGATCATTCTTTGATCTATTTGATTTTAAGAAGTTTGGTTTATGGGGACCTTGGGTGAGGAGCATACTTCAAACTCTTGGTATTATCCTCCCAATAGTCATAATAATAGTCTCCTTGGTGCACTGTGTTCTCTCAAAGAGGCTGGTTTTAGGCCTAATACGTATTCTATCCTGAAGTATGTCTCATGTGCTCTTGACACAACATGCATGCTGCTTTTGTTCAGTGAAATGTTCCATAGATGTCTGTTGAGTCTACTTGGTTTATAGTGCTGTTCTCCTATTTTCTTACTGATCTTCTGCTTTGTTGTACTATCTATTATTGAAAATGGGATATTGAAGTCTCCAACTATTATTTTGAATTGTCTATATCTTGATTCAATTATGTCAATTTTTGCTTTGTGTATTTCGAGGCTCAATTGTTAAGTGTATATATGTTTATAATTGACATGTGTTTCTGATTAATTGACACTTATCACTCTAAAATGTCCTTCTTTGTCTTCAGTAACAATTTTTTGTCTTGAAATCTATTTTGTCTGATATTAGCATAGCCACTCCAGCTATCTTTTAGTTACTGTTGCATGGTATATCTTTTTCTCTCCTTTTACTTTTAAACTCTGTGTGTTTTTCAATCTAAAGTATGTCTCTTATAAAAGAAATAACAGCAAAAAAAGGATAACTAAAGTATGTCTTTTGTAGACCGTATATAGTTGGATCACATCTTCCTTTATCCCTTCCACCAATATCTTCCTCTTCAGTGAAATTTTTTTTTTTTTTTTTTTTTGAGATGGAGTGTTGTTCTTGTTGCCCAGGCTGGAGTGCAATGGTGCAATTTCAGCTCACTGCAACCTCTGCCTCCCAGGTTCAGGTGATTCTCCTGCCTCAGATTCCCAAGTAGCTGGGATTACAGGAATGTGCCACCACACCCAGCTAGTTTTGTATTTTTAGTAGAGACGTGGTGTCACCATGTTGGCCAGGCTGGTTTCGAACCCCTGACCTCAGCTGATCCACTCACCTCAGCTTCCCAAAGTTCTGGGATTACAGGTGTGAACCACTGTGCCCGGCCTTCATTGGAATATTTAGTCAGTTTACATTCAGTGTAATTACTGACGAGGTAGAATATGTCTGCCATTTTGCCTAAAGGGAACTTTAGTATTTCTTATAGGGCAGATATTTGGCGATGAAATCTCTCAGTTTTTCTTTAACTGAAAATATCTTAATTTCTCCTTTATTTTTGCAGGATAGTTTTGCTGAATATAGAACTCTTGATTGACAGTCTTTCTTTTAGCAATGAATATGTTATCCCAGGACTTTCTGGCTTTCAGGGTTTCTTTTTTCTTTTTTCTGAGATGGAGTTTCACTTATTGTCCTGGCTGGAGTGCAATGGCGCAATCTCAGCTCACTGCAACCTCCGCCTCCCAGGTTCAAGCGATTCTCCTGCCTCAGTCTCCCGAGTAGCTAGGATTACAGGCATGTGCCACCACACCCCGCTAATTTTGTATTTTTAGTAAAGATGGGGTTTCTCCATGTTGGTCAGGCTGGTCTCAAACTCCCGACCTCAGGTGATCCACCTGCCTTGGCCTCCCAAAGTTCTGGGATTAAAGGTGTGAGCCACTGTGCCCGGCCTTGGCTTCCAGGGCTTCTGATGAGAAATCAGCTGTTAATTTTACTTAAGAACTCTTGTATGTAATGAGTTGCTTTTCTCTTGCTGTTTTCAAGACTCTCTTCGTCTTTTGGTAATTTCAGTTTGTTTGTTTGTTTGTTTGTTTGTTTAAATAAAGATAGGGTTTTGCTCTGTTGCTCAGGCTGGAGTACAGTGGCACTATCATAACTCACTCTAGTCTGGAATTGATCCTTATGCCTAAGCCTCCCAAGTAGCTAGCACTACTGGCATATGTCACCATACTCAGCTAATTTATTTATATTTTTATTTTTTGTAGAGTTGGGGGTCTTGCTATGTTGACCAGGCTGGTTTCAAACTACTGGCCTCAAGTGATCCTTTTGCCTTGCTCTCCCAATGTGCTGAGATTATAGGTGTGAGACAACATTCTCAGTCTCTTTTAAAAGTTTTTATATGACATGTCAAGGTGTGGATCCCTTTGAGTTTATCCTACTGGGAGTTTATTTTCTTGGATGTGCTGACTTTTGTTTGTTGTTGTTTTGTTTCTTTCAAATTTGAAAGGGTTTTGGCCATTATTCGTTTGAATATTCTTTCTGACCATTTTTTCTGTCTTTCCTTCTGAGACTTCCATTATGTGTATGTTGACACACTTTATGGTTTTCCATATATCTCTGAGGCCCTTGTTTTTTTCTTTTTCCTTCAGTTCCTCAGAATGAGTAATCTCCTCAATTATTCTGTTTTCAAGTTCTCAGATCCTTTGTTTGGCTTATTTTTGTTTGTTTGTTTGTTTGTTTTAGAGCAATAGAGTCTTGCTAAGGGGCCCAGGCTGGACTGAAACTCCTTGGCTCAAGTGATCCTCCTGCTAAAGCCTACCAGGTAGTTTGGACTAGAGGTGTGTGCCACTGTGCCTGGCTAAGTTCTTGGATTCTTTCATATTCTGCTGAAATCTGCTGTTAAGTCTATCCAGTGATTTTTCATTTCAGTTATTTTACTTTTCAACTTCAGAACTTCTATTTGTTCCTTTTTTAATTAATTAATTTTTTAAAAGTTGACATATATATTTATTGTGTATAAAATGTTTTGAAATATGTATACACTGTGGAATGGCTAAATTGAGAGCTCATTCACATAGGCATTACCTCACATACTGATTTTTTTTTGTGGTAAGTACACTTATAGCATATTCTCAGCAATTTTCAAGAATACAGTGCATTGTTATTAACCTCAGTCACCATGTTGTATAATAGATCTCTGGAGCAGGGTTTGTTATTGTTGCTAGTTGTTGCTATTATTTTGTTTAGTGACTTTCCTGGACTAATTCTGTAAAGTCTGTATTCTTTGTAATGTAAAGTCTCTGTTCAATTAGCTTAATGGCCAGTTAATGATTGAACACAGATTTCCTAAACTATCTTGAATAAATAAGTCTTCCAAATTTTGTTGATTCACTCGGTATTGGGGTATAGTTTCGATTCTCTCTCAAGCAGTTTACATCTCTCTTTAGCCTTCATTTCTTGCTTAGGAAAAGCCTTAAGGTTGGCCAGAGGTAAGACATTGGGGTCTTCTCAGGTCTTTTCTGGGCATGCACACATCATGTGCATGGCCTTATAGATTCCTAGGACTGTATCAGAGCTTTCCAAATCTCCCAATGGACATCTTATTCTTCAGTTTTTTTTTCCTTTTAAGTTTTTCATCAGCATCTTTTTATCCCCAACTGTTAACAACACCTCTGGCAGCTTTGATGTTAAACAACTGCCAATGATTGTTTTCAATAAATGTCACATGGATAGGACTATGCAGAGAGACTGAGCTGTGACCAATATTTAGACCAATAAAGACAAGCTCTGAGAATGGAACTTTTCATTGAGCTGCCAGACAAGTCAAATAATGACAGTCCTCTGGGATTGAGGCTTTCCTGGAGCTCCAAGTCCATTCTTCCCCCTCCAGTAGATGCTAGTCTGCTGCTTTTCATAGCTATTGTAATAGTGTGGCTATTGGTTTTTAATGCTACTTTGAAGAGGAGTTAGAATTAGGAAAAGCTTAAAAACCAAATCTCATAGTTCTTACCAAGATTCAGTCATTTTTCTTGACTAAACACTGCTCACATTGCTGCAAACTTCTGTTTAATTTCTAGAGTCTAAAAAATTAAAAAAATTAATTCTGATGGGTTTTGAAGATCTTATTGCTTTTATAGAGTAGCAAATTTTTGGAAGTCCTTAGTCTACCATTCTGAAAGTTGGAAAGATCTCCAGCTTTCATTTGTTTTTTGTTACTATGTTGTATTATTTTATATTCTTCTACTTTTATTCTATTTGTGCCTTTATTTTATTTTTTCAAGTTTTCACACAGGGTTGATTGTGTCTTTATTTTAAAATGAGTTTCCTTCTTCCCTGTTGATGTTATTAAAATAAATGAATAAATAAATAGAGTTTCTTGAAAGTAGACAGTATGTAATTGGATCATCCTTTTTAATCCAATTTGATAAACTCTGCTTTTTAATCAGGATGTTTAGAGGATTTAATTTGACTTATTTATTTATTTTATTATTATTATTATTTTTTCAAGATGGAGTTTTGCTCTTGTTGCCCAGACTGGAGTGCAATAGTGTGATCTCGGCTCACTGCAACCTCCGCCTCCTGGCTTCAAGCGATTCTCCTGCCTCAGTCCTGAGTAGCTGGGATTACAGGCATGCACCACCACGCCTGGCTAATTTTGTATTTTTAGCAGAGACAGTGTTTCTCCATGTTGGTCAGGCTGGCCTTGAACTCCCAACCTCAGGTGATCCACCTGCCTCGGCCTCCCAAAGTGCTGGGATTACAGGCGTGAGCCACCACACCCAGCTGACTTAATTTTGTTTTTTAGAAGATTTAATTTGAAAGTGTTTATTAATATTGTAAAATGTAAAGCTACTCGCTCTATTTTCTTTCCATTTGTTCTATCTATTCTTTGTTCTCTCTCTGTCTCTCTTTTTTTTGTCTTCTTTTAGATTGTTTTTTATGCTTCCATTTTATCCTTTTCATTGCCTTATAAGCTATACTACTTTGAGTTTTCTCCTTGTTTTTTTGTTTTGTTTTTAGTGGCTGCTTTATGGTCTTTAGTATACACCTTCTACTTACCATTGTCTACTCTGAAGTAAAATTATACTATTTCACAAATAGTATAAGAACACATGGCAGTGTACTTTTCTATTTCTCCTCTCTTGGCTTTTGCCCTATTGCTGTCATATAATGTCTGTACATGTTATAAGATCCACATTTCAGTTTGTTATTTTTAATTTCATACTCAGTTACCTTTTTTTTTTTTGGATACTGAGTCTTGCTCTGTCACCCAGGCTAGAGTACAGTTGCACCATCTTGGCTCACTGCAACTTCCTCCTGGATTCAAGTGATTCTCCTGCCTCAGCCTCTCTTGTAGCTATGATTACAGGCATGCACCACCATACCCAGCTAATTTTTGTATTTTTAGTAGAGACAGGGTTTCACCATGTTGGCCAGGCTGGCTGGTCTCGAACTCCTGACCGCATGATTTGCCCTCGGCATCCCAAAGTGCTGGGATTACAGGCGTGAGCCACCATGCCTGGCCCCACCTTTTTTAAAAATTGTAAAAATAAGTTTTAAAATTATTTTATATTTGCCCACATATTTACCATTTCCAGTGCTCTTCATGTTTTGGGGGTAGATTCAGATTTTTCTTTTTTTTTTTTGAGACAGAGTCTTGCACTCTTACCCAGGCTGGAGTGCAGTGGTGTGATCTCAGCTCACCGCAACCTCCACCTCCCGGGTTCAGGCAATTCCCCTGCCTCAGCCTCCCCAGTAGCTGGGATTACAGGTGTGCACCACCATGCCCAGCTAATTGTTGTATTTTTAGTAGAGATGGGGTTTCACCATGTTGGCCAGCTCGGATTCGAACTTGTGAATCCACCCGCCTTAGCCTCCCAAAGTGCTGGGATTACAGGCATGAGCCACCACACCCAGCCAGATTCAGATTTTTGTCCCACAATATATTGCTTCTACCTGGTGACTTTTTTCAAATTCTTTTTTTTTTTTTTTTTTTTTTTTTTTTTTTTGAGACAGGGTCTCACTCTGTCACCCAGGCTGGAGTGCAGTGATGTGATCATGGCTCACTCCAGCCTTGACCTTCCTGGGCTCGGATGATCCTCCTACCTCAGCCTCCAAAGTAGCTGGAACTACACGTGTGCAACACCATGCCTTGCCTGGATAATTTTTGTATTTTATGTAGAGACGAGGTTTCACCATGTTGCCCAGGCTGGTCTTGAATTCCAGGGCCCAAGCGACCCACCCACCTCAGCCTCCCAAAACTCTGAGATTACAGGTGGGAGCCACCATGCCTGGGCTCTTTCACATTCTTTTTTTTTTCTTTTAATAAACCTATAGTTTTATTAAGACAAAAACTGACAGCGTGGTATGAAGTTTACATTTAAAAAAAGTTTTCACAGAAATCTAACACATGCCTAAAAAGATTTTACAATGTAGTTCTAGATGCAAGTCTAGGCAATATCAAGAACTGATGGATCTCATGACTCAAGACAGAGCATTTTAGGTATCAGTTACTTCTTAGGATTTCTTAAAAAATGGTTTTGTTGGCCGGGCGCAGTGGCTCACGCCTGTAATCCCAGCACTTTGGGAGGCCGAGGCGGGCGGATCACGAGGTCAGGAGATCGAGACCATCCTGGCTAACACGGTGAAACCCCATCTCTACTAAAAATACAAAAAATTAGCCGGGCGTGGTAGCGGGCGCCTGTAGTCCCAGCTACTTGGGAGGCTGAGGCAGGAGAATGGCGTGAACCCCGGAGGCGGAGCTTGCAGTGAGCCAAGATTGTGCCACTGCACTCCAGCCTGGGCGACAGAGCGAGACTCCGTCTTAAAAAAAAAAAAAAAAAAAAAAAAAAAAATGGTTTTGTTGGCTGGGTGCGGTGGCTCACGCCTGTAATCCCAGCACTTTGGGAGGCTGAAGCGGGCAGGTCACGAGGTCAAGAGATCGAGACCATCCTGGCCAACAATGGTGAAACCTCATCTCTACTAAAAACACAAAAATTAGCCAGGCGTGGTGGCGGGCACCTGTAGTCCCAGCTACTCAGGAGGCTGAGGCAGGAGAATTGCTTGAACCCAGGAGGCAGAGGTTGCAGTGAGCCAAGATCATGCCACTGCACTCCAGCCTGGCAACAGAGCAAGACTCCATCTAAAACAAAACAAAAAAAAAGGTTTTATTTGTTTTTTTGTGTTTTAAAGTGAACCACTGCCCAGTAGGAAAGTTAAATCTCCTGAGACCAAGGCTTTTGAAATCACTCAACTCGAATCAATTCAGTGGAACTTGTGCTGTCAGTGACTGAACGCTGCCGCCAACGGTTTCAGAGTTCAAAGATCCAAAAAGAGAACTGCTCCAAGAGTTCTCCCCACTAAGAGTATGGGCTCTTGTCTTTCCCTACTGTCTTATCTCCTCTACCACCCTCTTCCCCTTCCCCAATACCTCAGCCAGTGGCTTCAACAAGCTGATATTTATAACTTCATTATTGGAAAGAAAAGGGTCTTCTGTCTAATTTCAGGAATTAACCCCTCTGAGACAGAATGATCTGCTCATACTATATACTCTCCAATAAAAGACCTTCCCTCCTCAGTCAATTTCCATCTCTAAAATGGCAACTTTGGTAACTTATCAACTAGCTTATCCTTTGTGGGGAACAGCATTAGGTTTAGGCAGGGAACACCTTGGCTTATATAGGTTTCAGACATTCATGGCTTTTTTTTTCATTTTAAAAACTTTATTTAAATAGAGACTATTAGTCAAATGATTGGAAAATCAATAATGAAAAATAATTCTTCAGGGTCTTCTGGTGAGGCGGAGGAACACACCAAACTGCACTGGCCCTGTCAGGGGACAGGACACCCTCATGGGGTCAGGCTCAGCCCTTCGGGTGGCATGAGGTCCTGCAGGCTGCGGGTCACGCTCCAGCCCCCTGCCTGGTGACCCGCCCTGGGCCTAGGCATTCACAGCTTTTAATTATAGTCCTTATTTATGATGCTAATGACATTTCTTTCAAAGGTAAAATATTCTAGACATAGAAGGAAATCATTAGTTGTCTGTTCTTTCCATTGCTTCACCATTTCCCCTATCAAGCCCCAAATTTTAATCAAAATGATGCTACCCATCTCCCTTCCTCCTCTCTCCATCCCTCCCTCCCCAAATAATACACCAGTAATAGCCAAAAACTACACACATGCTATGCTGTAAAAATGCAGTTGACACTATTGGGAGGTAGGCTGTGTGTTGTGGAGATGCTCTTTGAAGATCTACAGTATTTTTGTTTGCTCTCCCACACACCCAACTCTGCAAGTTTTGTCCTTCATAGAAGGCCCTTTGCTTTTCTCAGCAAAATGAAGAAAAGGTTGCCTTGAAACACTTATCCCCCTTCCCCTCCACTGGGATGGGTGTGCAAATTCTAGAGCTTGGAATGGCTTTAAAGCACTTGGGCTGCTGCAGGGCACAGAAACTATACTGGCTCTTCAAAGGACATCTTCTCAAGCCACCTCTATGCTGTCAAGACAAGTAGAACTCCTTCCCTTCCCACTGGAAACCCACATTCAGATGTGACAGGGGCTGGTACTCAGGAGAGTCAATTCTTGTCATCTTTTTTCTCATCCTCCTTCTTGGGGTAGGAATGCCTTTCCTCATAGAAAGATATGACAACCTGTGGGCACTTGATGCTGGCTTCCTTGCCAGGAAACAGGTCAGCCTCATCAGAGTTTTTCCATGTCATCGGGATCATGAGCTCTCCACTGGAGTATGTAGCTCCAATAATCTGCTCTGGCGCCAAACCCCCAGCAAAGCCTCATGGCTTTTCTGACTCTTCTTTCTTCTTCTTTGGTTTGCCCTCCTCTCCCTATGAAGCAGGAGATGTAAAAAAAAAAAAAAAAAAAAAAAAAAGAGAGAGAGAGAGAAGAAAACAAGTTTTCTGTACAGGCTGACTCACTCCAAGGCCCAGCAATAAGCAAGGCTCTGTGAGGGCTCTCATAGTGCTATCAGCAGAGCCGGGGCCCAGAAGGAATGGGCTCCAGGAGCAGGGATGAGAAAAACAAGTTCTTATCAGTTTCCCCTTTTTAAAATTATCTCCCCATACCATTATTCTTTGTTCTGCTCTCCTAACTATCTTTGTAACTATTTCTGCAAGTTGGTAAGGATTTTGTAAGTTCCTGTTTTCCCATCTGTGCAGTATGGTAAAGGTCACAAGACGTGCCTGAGTTGCAACACCTGTCTCTGTTTGATAAACTGCCTTTGTTCTGCTTCTGTAAGCTTGCTTGCCACCCTGCAGGTTTTGCACCACTAGCTGGCCAACCCCTTTTGGTTGCATGTATAAAAGTCAAGCCCTGTCTTTGTTTGGGGCTCAACCTTTGGAGGTTAATCTGCTGAGCCGGAGCACCTACATAAATCCTCCTGAGCCACCCATTGGTCTCTCCTGTCCCTTTAATTCCCGCAACACCTTATCTTCAAATCATCAGCTTTGCGCTTGCCTCCCTCTGATTTATCTGTCTCATGTGTTGTTTTCTATGACTGCAGAAACTCAGCAATGAGGTCAGGGCAATCCAGGTTCTCTTCTGGTTCCCATGTGTGGTCCTCATTGAGAACCCCTTCCACTTTAGGAGCTACTCCACTTTGCCCTTTACCCCTCCACAGTCAAGAACTTTTTCCACCACATATTTCTCTTCCTCCACTTCTAGAGCCTCCTCCACTTTCTTCTTGTTTTGTTTTTTCCTCATAGTGCCTGCTAGCTTTCTGGTGTAAAGGGTGACACTACTCAGAGCAGTGCCCAAGAGTCCAAGAGGAATCAGTGCCATGCTACTGGCCCATTGCATTGGGTCGGCAGAGGGAGTGGCACCCAGGAAAGCAGCAAGCTGGGTGGCCACAGTGGAGCCCCTCCCTGAAGTGGCCTACTGCAGGTCCTGGCCAAGGGCCCTCCCGTCAGCCGAACAAAACAACCTCGCACTCTGCACTGCCCGCCTCCTGCCCTCTTTCAACATTCTTATTGTTCAAGTGTGCTGGTTAAATTCTTCCAGCTTTTGCATGCTGAAAAACTTGTGTCCTATGTTTTTGAAAATTTTTCTCTGGGAATAGAATTCTAGATTGACAATTGTCTTCTAGTACTTTAAGTATATTGCTTCACTGTCTTCTAGGCTTGCATTACTTGCAGCAAAAATCTTTTGCTATTTTTTACATTCTGTACATAAGATCTCTTTTTTCCTTTGGCTGATTTTAAGTTTAAAATTTTTCTTCTTATAAGTAGTTCTAAGCAATTTGAATATGGCATACTGGCATGCTAGTTTTGTTGATGTTAGTTGAGCTTGGGGTTCATTGATCTTCTTAGATCCATTGATTTATACTTTTCATCAACTTAGAATTTTTTTTTTTTTGAGACAGAGTCTCATTCTGTCACCCAGGTTGGAGTGCAGTGGTGTGATCTCAGCTCACTGCAGCCTCCACCTCCCAGGTTCAAGCAATTCTCCTTTCTCAGCTGCCCACATAGCTGGGACTACAGGTGCATGCCACCATGCCTGGCTAATTTTTTGTATTTTTAGTAGAGACAGGGTTTTGCCATGTTGGCCAGGCTAGTCTCAAACTCTTGGCCTCAAATGATCTGCCTGCCTCAGCTTTCCAAAGTGCTGGGATTACAGGCATGAGCCACCATTCCTGGCCTATTTAGAAAATTTTTATCTATTAGTCTTTCAAATATTTTTTCTGCCTATCCCTCACTTTTTCTGGGACTCCAATTATGTGCATGTTAGGCCAGTTGAAGTTTTCACACATCTCACCAATGTTCTGTGTACCTTTTTCTGTGATCTATTTCCTTCTGCATGTTTTACTTTGTATAGTTCCCATGCCTTCAAATTCTGCAATCATTTTTTTTTCTGTAGTGTCTAATCGGCTATTAATCCTGCTATAAGCTGAATTGTGGCTCCCAAAGTCCATATGTTGAAGCTCTAACTCCCCATGAGACTGTATTTGGAGAAAGGATCTTTATAGAGGCTATGAAGTTTGCAAGAAGTCAGAAGGGTACACCCTAATCAAATAGGACTGATGTCCTTATGAGAAGAGAAGGAGACACCTCTGTGTGTGTGCACCCAGATAAACAACTATGTGAGGACACAGCAAGAAGTTGGCAGTCCACAAGCCCAGGATAGAAGCCTCATGATAAACCAACCCTGGCACCTTGATCTTGGACTTCCAACATCCAAAACTGTGAGAAAACAAACTTCTGGCCAGGTGCAGTGGCTCATGCCTGTAATCTCAGCACTTTGGGAGGCCGAGGCAGGTGGATTGCTTGAGCTCAAGAGTTCAAGACCAGCTTGGGCAACATGGCAAAACCCCATCTCTACCAAAAATACAAAAATTAGCCAAGCATGATGGCACGTGCTTGTGGTCCCAGATACTCAGGAGACTGAGATGGGAGGATCTCTGGAGCCCAGGAAGTCGAGGCTGCCATGAACCATGATTGCACCACTGCACTCCAGCCTGGATGACAGAGTGAGATCCTGTCTCAAGAAAAAAAATAAATAAATAAATATAAACTTCTTTTGTTTAGGCCACTCAGTCCATAGTATTATGTTATGCCACCCCTAGTAGACTAATAATACAAATCCCATCCAGTATATTGCTGTAAGTTCTATAAGGATTTTTTTTTTTAAAAAAACCTTCCATGTGTTTCAGCATGCTCTTAATTCCTTCTTGAAAACATGGAATATATTTATGATAGTTATTTTATATTTTTAGGGACAGAGTCTTGCTCTGTTGTACAGACTTGAATGCAGTGATGTAATCATAGCTCACTGCAGCCTCAAACTCCTGGGCTCACATGAGCCTCCTGCTTAGGTAAGCAGCTAAGATTACAGGTGTATGCCATCATGCCTGGCCAATTAAAAAAATTTTTTTGTAGAGATGGGGTCTTGCTGTGTTGCCCAGGCTGGTCTTGAACTCCTGGCCTTAAGCAATTCTTCAGCCTCAGCCTCCCCAAGCATTGGGATTACAGATGTGAGCCACCTCACCTGGCCTATGATAGCTAGTTTAATGCCAATCATTTGTGTCATTTCTGAGTCTGTTTCTACTGACTTATTTTTCTCCTCATTATGGGCTGTTTTTGCATGCTTGATAATTTTTTATTGGATGACAAACTGAATTTTATATTCATGGGTGCTGAATTTTTTTGTAGTTTTAAAATGTTATTGTATTCATTCTGGGATGCTATTATTTGCAAACATATTGGTCATTTCAATGATCGCTTTTCAGGTTTTTGTTTGTTTGTTTGTTTGTTTTTATGAAATGGGGTCTCACTATATTGCCAAGGCTGGTCTTGAACTCCTAAGCTCAAGTGACCCTCCAACCTTGGCTTCCCAAACTGCTGGGATTACAGGCATGAGCCATCATGCCTGGCCAGTTTTTAGTTTTTTAAGTGAAATTAGAGCAGCCTTTATTCTGCAGTGAAATTGACTTCACTACTGAGACAGTCCTTCTTAGTACTCTACCCTAGCCCTGTGTATTGTAAAGTTGCTCCACTTTGATTGTGGGGAATATGGACTATTCTCAACCTTGTGTAATTTCTGATAATCATTCTGCCCGATTCTGTCCAGTGGTTCTTTCTTTGGTCCCTGTCAGTTTTTTCACACCCACGTGCTAATCAGTACTCAACTGAAGACTAAAAGGAAACCCTTTGTAGGTCTCTGCAGCTCTCTCCAATAGTTTGCCCTGTGAATTCTAGATGCCTTCACCTCTTCAAATTCTCAGCTGTAGCTTCTCAACTCAAGGAGACCCTGAGCTCCATGTGGGCTCCTCCTCACTGTGCGGAGGTCTAGAAAACACCTCCAGCTATGAGGCTGGGTAAGCCATTTTTCACATTTTTTCACTCAAAGGGACCAACATTTTTTTGCATGGCTGTTGTCCATTTTAGAAAAACTATTGTTTCTTGTCTTTTGTCTGTGTTTTTAGTTGTTGAAGGTGGGAGGGTAAATGTGGTCTTTGTTATACTTCCATGTTCAGAAGTGAAAGTCTCTCTAAAAGCATTTAAGTACTTGGTACTTCTAGCTGAATAGGTGCAAACAGCATACTATATCTATTTATTTATTTTGTTTATTTATTTTTTACAGACAAGGTATCATTCTGTCACCCGGGCTGGAGTGCAGTGGTGCCATCATGGCTCACTGCAGCCTGGATCTGCTAGGCTCAGGTGATCCTCTCACTTCGGCTGCCCAAATAGCTGGGGCCACAGGCACAGGCCACTGTGCCTGGCTAATTTTTTAATTATTATTATTTTTTTCCGTAGAGACAGGGTGTCCCTATGTTGCCCAGTCTGGTCTCAAACTCCTGTGCTCAAGCTGGTCTTGAACTCCTGCTGAAGTGATCCTCCCATCTCGGCCTCCCAAAGTGCTGGGATTACAGGCATGAGCTACCACTCCCAGCCTATATTTAGACTACTATGATGATCACAAGATGTCAGGACCATCAAAATTTCTTTGGATTATATTATATAATGTTAGAGAGAAAGAAATACTACATCTGGAAGAATAACTATAATAGGAGTGCTTCCCTGATAAATTTTATAACCTACCATCATTCTCCAAAATCCAAAATTAAACAAGTGAGTTCAATGGGGATACTTTAACAATAATCATCCCTGCACATACCAAGCTAGGAAGCAAGAATAAACAAATACCAAAAAATTACTATAGTGTGGGCCACATTTCCTGATCCTAATGAGATAAAAGTAGAAATCAATAACAAAAAGATAATTTTCAAATGCAGATATTTAGAAAACATAAATACAAGTCTCTCTATGAACTCATGGAAAGAGTTCCAAGATACACACTTGAAGTAAATAATTCAAAGTATTGAATATTGTTTAACATATGGCACCATTTATGTAAAGGGGGGAAGTATATATTTATATTTCCATACATATAAATTATCTGGAAATATACACAAAAAATTTAACAATGGGCGCTTTATTGGAGGAAGTATGTGAAACCACGTGGATGGGATCAGTAGTAGTAGTGAAACTTTTCACTGAATACCATCTTATATTTTTCATTTTTCAATATTATGAATATATCAACTAACCAAAAATTAAGTGTTCAAAATTATTTATAAAATATATATATACATATTTTTTTTTTTCAGACGGAGTCTTGCTCTGTCGCCCAGGCTGGAGTGCAGTGGCTCCATCTCGGCTCACTGCAACCTCTGCTGCCTGGGTTCAAGAGATTCTCCTGCCTCAGCCTCCTGAGTAGCTGGGATTACAGGCATGTGCCACCATGCCTGGCTAATTTTTTTTGTATTTTTAAGTAGCGATGGGGTTTCGGCATCTTGGCCAGGCTGGTCTTGAACTCCTGACCTCATGATCCACCCGTCTCGGCCTCCCAAAGTGCTGGGATTACAGGCGTGAGCCACCGCGCCTGGCCTATAAAACATATATATATATATTTTTTTTAACAATTCATGAACCAAAGAAGGAAACATAATGGGGAATTATAATATATTTAGAACTGAATGTAATAATAAAATACTTACATTCCAAAATTTGTAAGAAGTCACTGAAACAGTACCAAAAGGAACATTAATAGTCTTAAATGTTTATAGTACAGCAGAGGCTAGATTGGAGTTAAAAGTGGTAAGAATTCCCTTCTAAAAGTTAGAAATACTGTAATAATAGTGCAGAACCTGTAATAATAGTGCAAGTCGTGCAAATTCAAGGAAAACGTTTTAATTGAATTCTATTTCTGTCATATGATGGATAATTTATTTGACAAATCTGATTAAAACAATTAAAATTCTGGCTGGGCGTGGTGGCTTATGCCTATAGTCCCAGCCCTTTGGGAGGCTGAGGCCAGAGGATCACTTGAGTCCGGGAATTCAAGACTAGCCTGGATAACACGGTGAAACCCCGTCTCTACAAAAAATACAAAAATTGACCGGGCATGGTGGTGGCGTGTCTGTAGTCCCAGCTACTCAGGAGGCTGAGGTGGGAGAATTGCTTGAGCCCGGGAGGCAGAATTTGCAGTGAGCCAAGATGGTGCCATTGCACTCCAGCCTGGGTGACAGAGCGAGACCCTGTCTCAAAAACTAAAATAATAAATAAAACAATGAAAATTCTCAGTAAACACTTTTTTTTCAATAAAAATAACATTTTAAAATGTATTGATGGGCTGGCATGAATCTCCAAATTCCCACTATGACTTGCAAGCAGGGGTTCTGGAAGCTAAATGCTCTTACATCCACTCTGAGGTTGTCTAAACAACTCTGAGGTCTTGATTTCCATGGATTACAGGGTTTCAGGAAATAGGCCTAGGGACCTTCCTCAGTGGAGAATATGTTTTTTGTTTGTTTGTCTTTTGTTTTTGTTTTTGTTTTTTTTTTTGAGACTGAGTTTTGCTCTTGTTGCCCATGCTGGAGTGCAATGGCTTGATCTCGGCTCACTGCAACCTCTGCCTCCCAGGTTCAAGCGATTCTCCCACCTCAGCCTCGCAAGTAGCTGGGATTACAGGCGCCTGCCACCACGCCTGGCTACTTTTTTGTATTTTTAGTAGAGACAGGGTTTCACCATGTTGGTCAGGCTGTTCTTGAACTCCTGAGCTCAGGTGATCCACCCACCTCGGCCTCCCAAAGTGCTGGGATTACAGGCGTGAGCCACCGCACCCAGCCCCAGTGGAGAATTTAATGGGAGATAGCTACTTACAGTTAGGATCCAAATGAATATACCCCAGTATAAAAGTAAACAAAAATAAAATCCTATTGTAAAAAAGTCGGGTGACAACTGATTTGACCTTAGTACTAGACAGAATGAGGAGAAAATCTCCATGGGTAATTTACAACAATAAGCCATCTGTGGTACCCAGGATCTAAGATGGTTTCAGTGACCTCTGCCTGCTAGCATTCACTTCTTGCATACACTTACCTTGTACATTGAATAGGGCTGATCTGTGCAGCTAATAAAATATTGCAGAAATTACTAGATGTGACTTCTAAGGGCTAGGATATAAAATATTGAGACTTCTACTTTTTACTCTGTTGGAACACTCTCTCTGGGGGAAATCAGCTGCCATGTCATGAAGACATTCAAGCTGGCCTGTAGACAGACAAGGAACAGAGGCCTTTTCCTAGCAACCAGCATTACCTTGCCAGGCCCAGGACTGAGCCCCCTTGAATGTATACCCCCCAGCCCCAGTTAAGTTAAACCTTTAGATGACTGCAGTCCCAACTGACATCTTTAATGTAACCTCAGTTGAGACCCTGAGCTAGAACCACCCAGCTAAGCTACTCTCATTTTCTACAAAGATTATGTAAAGATAAATCTACAAAGATTACAAAAGATAATCTACAAAGATTATGTAAAGATAAAAATTTAAGCTACTAAATTTTATGTAATTTGTTATATAATAAATAACTAATATACTAGACCTCATAAAGGTTTTTGGTCTGAATTTATGCTGCCTGCATGGTCAGAAAAATTTCAAGTGGATATTTAACAACCTGTAGAAACAAATACAAAATGTCTTAGGAAGAGCTTATTTTCAACCCAGGTCTCAAAGAATTACTAAGGATAAATTTCAAGGAAAATAATAGTTTACATTAAGAATCACAAAATACCAGCCAGGTGCGGTGGCTAACGCCTGTAATCCCAGCACTTTGGGAGGCCGAGGTGGGCGGATCACCTGAGGTCAGGAGTTCGAGACCAGCGTGGCCAACATGGCAAAACCCTGTCTCTACTAAAAATACAAAAATTAGCCGGGCATCGTGGCAGGCTCCTGTAATCCCAGCTATTCGGGAGGCTGAAGCTGGAGAATCACTTGAATCCAGGAGATGGAGATTGCAGTGAGCCGAGATTGCACCACTGCACTCCAGCCTAGGCGACAGAGCAAGACTCCATCTCAAAAAAAATAAATAAATAAATAAAAAGAAGAATCACAAAATCTCTAAAGGCAAGACATCATGAGTCAGACCCAATGAACCAATAGACAGGAGAAGCAGAAATGCAAGGACTCCTTATGCCAGATTTCCCAGTCATAGAATCTAAAAGGAATATGTTTAGTGTATTTCAGGAAATAAAGGCAGAAAAAAGAAACTATGAGCAGGAAATAAGAAACTATAAACAAGAAGAGCCAAGTAGATTTTAAAAAGAACAAAGCAGAACTTCTAGAAATGAAAAATATATAATTTTATATTAGTCAATGGACTGACTAAAGAGTAGATTAGACACAACTGAAAAAAGAACCAATGTACTAAAAAACAGACCTAAAGAATTTATTAGATATTGACCATTTTTGATTTGGGCAAAAAAAAAAGAAGAATTTATTAGGATTCAGTCTGTGGATTCAAATATGGAAAATATGAATGAAAGGTGGTTAAGAGACATGGAAGACAGGATAAAAAGTTCTAACCTACCTCAGTGGAGCTCCAGAAGGAGGTAACATTAAGAACGAAGATGAAGCAACATTTGAAGATAAAATGGCTGAGAATCTTCCAGGGTTGTTGAGAGATACCAATCCTCATATCCGGAAAGCCTAACAAAATTCAGAGAGGATAAATAAAAATAAATCCAACAGAGACATATTACAATTTAACAGCAAATGAGAAAAGAGACAATCTTAAAAACCAGAACAAATTGAGAGTAAGTATAACAAAGGAAATAATAAAAGCAAAAATAGAAATGGATGAAATAGAGGAGAAATGACATCATAGAGGGGTGCATAACAACAAAACAGGCATTAAAATAGGCAAACGTATGGCAAGATTGATAATAAATAAATGCTTAATAAATAAGTTTACATATAAAGAACAATGAGTGGAAAGTGGGGCATAGAGTTTTAAAGGATAGGAAACTATTATGAAGAACTTTATGTTAGTAAACTTAGATGAAATGAACAATGCATTAGGATATATTTGCCTTCACTAAGAGAATATCTGATTAACAGTCGTTGAGCAATAAGACTTTTTTTTTTTGAGATGGAGTCTTGCTCTGTCACCCAAGCTGGAATGCAGTGGCACGATCTTGGCCCACTGCAACCTCCGCCTCCCAGGCTCAAGCAATTCTCCTGCCTCAGCCTCCCAAGCAGCTGGGATTACAGGTGCCCACCACCATACTCAGCTAATTTTTGTATTTTTAGTAGAGACAGTGTTTCACTATGTTGGCCAGGCTGGTCTAGAACTCCTGCCCTCAAGTGATCTGGCCACCTCAGCCTCTCAAAGTACTGGGATTACAGGTGTGAGCCACCATGCCCAGCCTGCAATAAAACATTTAGTTAAAATATACTTTTTAAATTAATTTTTAGATTTTGGGGCTTTTTTTGATTGTTTGTTTTTTGTTTTTGAGACAGGGCTCTCACTGTGTCTCCCAGGCTGGAATGCCATGGCGCCATTACTCCTCACCATAGCCTCAACTTCCCAGGCTCAAGCAATCCTCCTACCTTACCTGAGTAGCTGGGACCACAGGTGCATACCACCATGCCAGGCTAATTTTTTCTTTTTAGAGACAGAGTCTGGCTATGTTGCCCAGGCTGGTTTCCAAGTCCTGTGCTCAAGTGATCCACCCACGTCAGCCTCCCAAAGTGCTGGGATTACAGGCATGAGCCATTGCGCCCAGCCTTAATTAAAATACAGGATGGATTTTGGTCAGGGAATCTAATGCTATTTACATAGGCTTGGCACTAATTGTTTTTTATACAAACTTTTTTAGAAGTAAGACATTCAAATGGACAGGTACACAAATCGAGTGCACAGCTCAACACATTTTCACAAAGTGAATGCATCCAAGTCGCCAGCACATAGATCAAGATAAAGAACATTACCATAAAACAGAAGATTCCTTGTGGCAGTAATAATTTAAAACTTAATTCTTACAAATGCTTTGTAGCTCACATGGATTCAACTGGCTTGGATTTTAACAGCAGTAAACATTTTTTTGCCCACCAGTTCCTAAAATAATTACATGTTGAAATAGTTGTTTGTTTTCCCCCAGAATTTGAATTCTTGCCTTAGCTCTGCCTGCTCACTAAGTCCTCTATATCCCCCAGTGTCTGCTGAAGTTTCCAAGAAGTTCACACATGTGAAGTAAGACCAGTGCCACAGTTAAAGCTTCAGCATAAAATCACGGTGTGCACTACAAAGCCACTTGAGGCCTATGAAGAGGCTTCTTGAGGGGTGTACTGTTTTGCTAGGGACCACATCTTCTCTAAGGCCCAGTGTGTGCAGCTTTGCCTTTTTGTAAAAGAACAAGCTGCAAAGTCCTCACATAAACTACAGCTGCCTGCCAAGGTCAAAATATGAGGTGGCTTAAGACTTAAAGTCTCCTGAGAAGTTAAAAGCTATCTACAAAACAGTAAAAACCCACTTGGCTTAATATAACTTCTTTAAGATGCCAAAGTCAAGACATGTTAAACACTCTGAAGTCTAAAGCTCAAAGCTACACACCTTACATAACTCAATGCCCCTTTGTGTGTACATTTTGCCATCCAAAATTTAACTCCCTATTTACTTACCAGGGTTCACAGCCCAACATTTCAGGTGCTGAGGTTTTTGAGGTTACACATCTGAAATGCAAGCCTCCGTACTATAGAGGCAACGTTTGCCTCTGGATATCTTCCTTCACGGATGATAACTATCAGAAGATTCTACTTTCTACAGGCAAACCAGCTTCCTGGAGGAAGAGATTAGGTTACCCAGGCCCATTTTCTTAAACTCACCACTCAGGTAACCCTTACTCCTCTCCCCAGGAAGCTAAGAGTGGGGAAGTAGAGAGAAGACAGGAAAGTTATGCTAATGAAGCTCCCCCAATTCACCAAGTGATAGAAAGATACATTCTCCCCAAACCTATTGGTTCAGAAAACCATGCATTGGAAGTTAGAAGATCTCATCTTAGTGTGTCAAAACTGCTCTAGGGGAATATGTAACAGACCTAGAGAACAGGGTTAGTAGCTCTGCACACAACTTGTCAAACAGCTAGAGCTCCAACAAGGTGCTCAGGTAGTCCAAAAATTAGCAGTGATTGAGTCAAAGAAAATCTATATTTTCTACTGGGTTTGATAATCACTAGGAGGTAAGAGGTCATGTCCTCCACAAACAGGGAGCAAAAAGTTATAAAGAGGGAATAAGAGAGATAAAAGGACAGCAGAATAAAATACAAACAGCACAAGAGAAACGAAAAGGGAGTTAGGTACGATATGGGGGAACTGCAAGGAAATCAAAATAGCCATTACAACCAAAAGATGCAAAGACAGTAAAGCAGAGCGTGGACATCACAGAAAATGCAATCAATGAATGATGTAGGAGGCAAAACGAGGAAATCTCCTAAACTGTGGGAAAAAGATGAGAAAGGATGAAATAAAGAGAAAAAGATGGTAGCAATAGCAGACAAAACAAATTCATTAATAACTCAAGAATTACAGCTGTTCCTAAGAGAGGGATGAAAAATGGGGGGAAAAAAGTCAAAATTGAAGCCGGGCATAGTGGCTCACACCTGTAATCCCAGCATTTTGGGAGGCTAAGATGGGTGGATCACTTGAGACCAGGAATTCGAGACCAGCCTGGCCAACATGATGAAACCCTGTCTCTACTTAAAATACAAAAATTAGCCAGGCATGGTGGCATGCACCTGTAATCCCAGCTAATCGGGAGGTTGAGGTGGGAGAATCGCTTGAACCCGAGAGGCGGAGGTTGCAGTCAGCTGAGATCATGCCACTAAACTCCAGCCTGGGCGACAGAGCGAGATCCTGTCTCAAAAAAAAAAAAAAAAAAAAAGTCAAAATCGAAAGTTTTTAGAGCTGGGTAAAAGCATTAAAACCAAAAGTGATCATCATATTGAAGAAAAGTCAAATAGACCCATATAGACATACTCTGGCAAAGATTGTTAATTACAAAAATAAAGAAAAATGACCTAAGTACCTAAACAGGTGAGCTATAAAGAAAACAAATTATGTTTGATTTTAATCTTTTTTGTAATACTAAATATAAGAAACCAAGGGAACAATAGATACAGAACTTTTAGGGAAAATTTATATGACTTAGCCATAAATCAGCAAAAGACATGTCCTAAAACAGATGTCGTCAAAGGGTAGTCCATGAACCCTTCAAGGTCTTTGAAAACTTTTCAGAGAGTCTGCAAGGTCAAAGTTATTTTTGTAATAATACTAAGATGTTATTGGCCTTTTTCACCGCGTAGATATTTGCACTGTTGATACAAAAACAATGCTGGATAAAACTGCAGTTTAGCACAAATCAATGCCATGGTGCCAACTGTACTAGCAATTATTATATTCTTCACCACCACACACTTGCAGGAAGAAAAAAGAGTGTCCTTGATAAAATAATAAGAAATTCTAATTTTTGTTGTCCTGAATCTTTTTTTTTTTTTTTTTTTTTGAGACAGAGTCTTGCTCTGTCGCCCAGGCTGGAGTGCAGTGGTGCAATCTCGGCTCACTGCAAGCTCCGCCTCCCGGGTTCACGCCATTCTCCTGCCTCAGCCTGCCAAGTAGCTGGGACTACAGGCACCCGCAACCACACCCGGCTAACGTTTTTGTGTTTTTAGTAGAGACGGGGTTTCACCTGTTAGCCAGGATGGTCTCAATCTCCTGACCTTGTGATCCGCCCGCCTCGGCCTCCCAAAGTGCTGGGATTACAGGCGTGAGCCACCACGCCCGGCCCTGTCCTGAATCTCAAGTACACATCTTTTTAATATTCTGTGTGACAAATAGGAAGTATACATAAAGCCCTTCTGGTACCTAGTGGAGCATGCAGATCGTCTCAAGGAAAAGCATATGTGCAATTGAGTTGCAAGCTGACCTAGCTGCTGTTTTCATGTATCATCATTTTTACTTGAAAATGAACAAAGTGAACCTGTTACTTCAAAGGAAACAATTGCTGGTGTTTGTTGCCAATGCAAAAATGTCAGATTTCAAGTGAAAATTAAAATATTGGGAAAGTCATATCTGCCATCTTTGAGCTCAGTTCTCTGTTGCTTAAAGACTTTTCTGATGAGATTAGTGGGAATGCAAATGAATGTGACTTTTTAAATATTGTTTAATGAAATGTGTTGACATTTGGAAGACATGTATAACTCAGTCAACTATTATTTTCCAAATAACCAAACGCATGATATTACAAAATTAGGGTAAAAGATCCATTCAATGTGAAAGATAGACTGATGGATTCTAACTGAACAGAATATGAAAGATTCACTGATACGGTTTTAGAGTCCACAC